>NC_000008.11:24708587-25011617 GCF_000001405.40 Homo sapiens
GATGAGATTTGGGTGGGGACACAGAGCCAAACTGTATCACTATTCAATACCTCCTGCATGAAGTCCCACATGACAAATTCCTTTTGAAACTTAGCAAAACTTTGTCTTCTTTGAGGTATGGATATTTGACTTGTATATCTTTCCATTAGATATTAAGTATTATGTAAAACAGGTTATTTCCCATTTTAGTTGTGTTAGCCAGGGCCTTTTAAGTCAAATTCAGTGTCCAATGATGTGGTTAATACTCTGGCCTATTTATCTATTTTTGTTGGAGAATGAGTATAATGTAGTGGCTAAGAATGAGCTCTATGGAATCACAGTGCATGCACTCAAATTGGAGCTCAGCCACTTAGCAGCTATATGACCTTTGACAATTTATATAGCTGCTCTAACCCTGAGTTTCTTTATCTGTAAAATTGAGATAACAGTAACACCTACCTTATGGGATTTTGTGAAGATTAAATAAGCAAAACCACATAAAACACTTATTCTCAACACTTGGCACATTGTACTCAGTATTTTTTTCTCATTTCATATTTGTCCGTTATTATAAGCTACTTCTAATTTATTTAAATGCTGCATTTTAACTGCTAACATTTACTGTATGGACACTAACCACCAGCTAGGGTTACAGTGTGTGTTCACTGCTCTACACTGAATCTCTACTAATGGTAAGTTAATTAGTCATGAGAAATAACTGTATTAGCTGTTAGGTTTGCAGCAAAAAATTCCGTGCAAGAAAAAAGACCCAAAAAGTGAAATCCTATAAACCATGTAATTCCCACCATCTGATGGGTGGAAATCATAAAATTTGCTATCACATAAATTTGTGGGAAAAAACAAAAGACATCATACATACATGGTAAAGAGTGTCAGGAATATTATTCTTCTCTGGTTTAATATGGATGAAAATACTATAAAATACGAGTGCAGAAATAGTCATTCTATATAAGCGAAAACAATCCTAACTCAACAAAACAGGAAAAATAAAGTTGTAAGGAACTGGATGAGCTTATCCAAAAAGGAAGAGAAAAGGTGAGGAAAGCACATTCTCCCCAATTTCTGGGAAGAGCACCAACACTTAAAAACATGATTGTGGGAGAATCATTTTTTATTTCTATGAACTTGAGGCCAAGGCATCAATGTTGACTGATCAGGAATCCTATGTTTGGTGAGAGTATGTATTTCCTTGCTGTTGGTCATGTATGTCAGGGTCCATAAACATAACACCTTAAGGCCTAATCGTTTCTGTAACAAGTATAACCCCATGGAATTCATGTTCATTATTTTTCAGAAGACAATCCAAACTCTTTAGCATTCCACCCTTTCTTAATTTCAACAGCTTGATGGCTTTGGCAGATCCATTAGACACCAGTTAATGGCAATGCCTAAAAATCTCATTTCAGCAAGGTGGTCAGGCATAGTGAAAATAATAATCAAATTTATTCAAATTGCATTGCATGTCCATATATCATACTCATTATTTTATTTACTAAACTCTTATAATAATAACAGCTCACTATGTACCAGGCACCACTTTTAAGTGCTTCATATATATTATTAACTTTGACAATCATAAGCCTATAAAGCATGACCATTATTATCTTTCATTTTATGAATCAGGAAACCAAGGCACAGAGAGGTTAAACAACATTTCCAAATCACTCTCCTGTAAGGAGTAGGGCTAGGATTTGAAGCCAGGAAAACTAGGTCCAAAGCCCACACCGTCAACCACTACTCTCTACTGGCTTATGTGTGTTAGTGTTTGAGATGCAAAATGAAAACAGAAACAAATACAAAAATTGAACTTCAAAGTAACTGACTGATATGTCTTTTTCTCTTTGTTTATCTGTATGATTAACTCATGTTTTCAAGCTCATCTAACGTAAATGCTGCTTTACCCTCAGAGAGAAATAATCTTTCCCTCCTTTGTGTTCCCATGAAACTTGTACATTCTTCTAATCATAGCACTTTCCACAACTGTTCATAATTTTGGTTTGTCTCTTTCTTTCCCTACTGAGCATAAGCTTTTTTTTTATTGTAGAAACTGTGAGTTCATGCTCCTAGTACCTAGCATGGAGGAACAGAGTAAGGAGGGAGGGAGGGAGGGAGGGAAAGAGGAGAAAGGAATGAGGGAAGAAAAGGTGGAAGAGACGATGGATTTGATTCTTCTTTTCCCCATATTACACACTGTTCTTAAATATACATAGTATTCAGGAGTTCTTGCCATTTCTCCATTTAGATGATTTATATGTGAAGAGGTTAATTCAGTGCTGTAAATTTAGAACCAATGCATGAAAACATTTGTTAAAGTAAAAGTGAGAGAGACAGAGAGAGAGAGAGAGAGAGAGAGAGACAGACAGACAAACAGACAGGGACAGACAGACACCGACCTGGAAGGAAGAGGAAGAAGAGAATAAAATAAGGGAACAGCCAAAGGAGTTTTGAGGATACTTTGAAACTGCCTAGACAAAGAAAGGAAAGATGGCTCCTTTTCTCCACTTTTGTCCAAAGGAGATACTTAGCTGATTAAAACAGGAGCTGGTTCACTTCCGAGAGACTGCATCACTCTCTATTTATTAACTTTTACCCTAGCTACAGATTGAGGTATGCAAACATTTCACTTGTTCAAATATCTCATGTCCTAGAGACAGACATCAATTGCAATTAATTCCACCCTTTCGCTGACTACAGCTATGATCCCTCTGCCCTTCACCTGTCTTGCTCTTTTCTTTCCATTTGCAAATTTCACTGACCTAATCAACAAAACCATGCAATATAGCCTTAAATTTCCATTTTCTCTATACTCACAAGCATCATCTCTTCTCCAAACAAAAATTCTGGCAATCTCTACTTCTAAACATCTTACCCAATGGTGCCAAGAAATTACTGTATTGTATTTCTCCTTCATCTAAAACATAGTCAGCTTCACCAACGTGCAGCTGCCTCACCCACGATACTACTTGTGCATCTGCTTAATGTGCTGCCAAATTCTCTTCTAGCTGTATATCTAAGCAATATTTTCTACTTTGAGAGTTTTTTCAGCTGGGCCAAAGGTTTGTTTAACTTTCCTATAAATGTCATTCCAGTGGCTGAGATGGATTGGTTTGGAGGAACCCAGAGCCATTACCAGGCTGACCCAAGAGACCCAACATTCTAGCAACAGAGCCCATGTCTTGGAGCTGGCAATACACAGCCTCTATGGATTTTACATAATGAAATGATGAAAGCTATTTAGTACTGCAGTATATTTCATGCATTAATCTAATAGCATTTTTAAAGCCAGTTCCCTACTCTTGTCTCCCTGGAATAGAAAAGCCATCTGCACCAACCCAGAATAATTTATTAAAGACTTATGAAAAAACAGAGGTGTATTTTCTCTCCTTTATTATTTCACTTGGTTTTATTTTTTTCAGATCCATTTTCACCATATTTTTCTATGTATGATTTTATTTTTCTGGTTTAATTGCCTCATGAACACGACTTTAAAATAAAGTCCATGAAACTGAGCTCTAAGAATTGAAAAAAAGAAAGCCCAACGTTTCCCTCTTTACCATACTTCATGTTAGAATGATGGGATAAAAAAACATGGGTTTTAGAATTCAGCAACCTTCTTCTTAGATGAAGTTACTTAACCTTGATAAGCCTTAGTTTTTTCATCTGTAAAATGAAAATGATAATACCTACTTTTCCAGGCTATGCGAGAATTAAATTCAATAATGAATATGTACAAAGTCTCTGGTGTCAGGCATATACGCTATTCTGTGTCAATGAAAGCTGATACTGAAGAACACATAGGTCTCAGATAATTTTTGCAACTCTCTTCTCTCTGATTACTGCTTTAACATCTCAGAGAGTCATTAGGGAGGGGAGGAGAAAGGACGCAGGGCACCAAACATCACAGCAGTTTAGTAATGTGATAGTTACCCAGTCTGCAATAATTTATCCCTTCTGGACTGTCCAGGTGGTCACTCCAGCAGCAGGTCAACTGGACTGCACTAGGGGAGCCTTGGCAAGGCAGATAGGGGGAGAGGGGAGAAAAGCTGGTGAATTGAGGAACAAGTTAGGCTTTTTCAATGAGGCTTCTCTTTCGGGTAGTTATAGAACACTTCTCTAAGCTGGGTTAGAGCAGTATGTGGGTCTCCAAAGACTTTTTTTTAAATATGTTTATTTTTTACCTTAGTATGAAACTAATCTTAGTTTTCTAAATTCATTTTCACCATATTTGGGGCTCTAGAATTTTCATTTAAAAAGTCATCAAAGTTTCAGCCTCTCCAATATCTGTTGCGTATATTTCTTAAACATCAGACAATTTAATTTAGAATATACTAAAAACAACAAAGATAGTTGAAGTTCATTCCCACCTGGTTTTACACTCATAGGCCATAGCGTGTCATGCATCTGACACTGAATTCCTCTAAGAAGATGAAGTCAGTGCCTCCTCCTTATTGCACTCTGCTTATAATTGTGGTTATGTGTACCTTAATCAAATGACAGATGAAATGTATCTTGAAAGCAGGGCTTATTTCTAATTTACTTGACCAGCTTTCAGTCTCTTTACAGTACCATGCAAAGTACCATGAATGCTTGCAAATGAATTTTAATTACTCAGAACATGGAAGTGAGATGTCAGCCTGACCAAATTTACATACCCTTATAACCGTGTTGGCAATCTGTGCTTTACTTACAAAAAAATTAAGGAGCTATGAGACTGCACCTGTTTCCCCCACTTAATTTCCTTACTTCTGCTATGAGCAAAAGCCAAAAAAAAAAAAAAAATCCATTACCTCCATTACCTTACTTCTGCTAAGAGGAAGAAATCCAGTTTAACCTCTTCATTAAACATTCTAGCACCCAATGTAGTGCAGTGTATTAACCATGACCTTTGTGGGCAGACAGATCAGATTACAAAGGGGGCTCTGTGTGAAGTTAGATTAGTCACATAATCATCTAAGCTTTGGCTTTCTCATCTGAAACAGGAGAATAGCAGCAATGCCTCCAGCACAAATTGGTGGCATTAAATATGTAAAATACACATGCGTAAGGGATTCAATATGAGTTAGCTTTCCTTTCATTTTTGTAGGGCTTTGGCAAATAAGTATGGGAAGAAATGTTCAAATTCTCTAGCAATCAGATAAATGTAAAATAAAACCACCCTTTAGGTCCATTATAAAATACCAAATGTTGGCAAGGAGTATTTAGACAGGAATCTTGTACGCTACCTGGGAGAGAGTAGACTGGAGCAGCCATTTGGGAAATCAACCTGTCAATCTTTGTGAAATTGAGTTTGCATAGCTATGAACAACCTGAGATCCCAACCCTGCTAACATGTCCCAGGGAAATTCTCATGCAAGTCTGCAAAGAAACTGAAATGAGAAGAATTATTGCAGTGTTGCTTATTACAGTAGGGAATTGAAGTTAAGCTGAGTGCCCATCACTGAATAAGTTGTAGTGGATGCCTTTTGTAGAGTTCAGTGCAAAACCATTGAAAGAAACAAACTAGATGTATGTACAGCACATAGCCTATTGTAAGAAAAAGAAACTGACAGGTATCCTTTACGTAAATGAAAGACACATGCAAAACAGCACTGATATTTTGCAAGGACGCATACAAATTCAAGGTCATGTATAAAAGACTTTAGAGCATGTGGCCATGGGGAGGAAATGGGAGTAGGCATTTAATTGTGAAGGGAGACAAATTTTTAGAATTCCATTATACAGACCTGTAATGATGACGGTATGTCATGAACTGAGGGGGATGACAAATTCAAATCTCTGCACCTCGAGTTCAACAAAAATGGAAAAGAAAAGTAATAAAGACGTGTGTTGAGTGGGTGGGAATGTGGTTGTGTGTATACATGTGTGTGTATGAGCTACAATATTCATGAACACTTTTCTAGGAATATACACAACAAACTAAATGTTGGTGACTTTTGGAAAGAGGAATTGGAGATTAACAGAGAGGGAAAGAGGAACTTTTTGTTACTTTCGCATTGTTAGAATTTTTACCTTATGTCTATGTAACATCTATTTAAATATTAGTTTGGCCTTTTAAATTAACTTCTGCTCTCTACTCTTCCAGTTTCACCTTCAATCATTTATTTCCACACTGGTATTGGAATCATTCTAAAATGTGCATGTGATCCTATTAAGTTTCTACTTAAAAACCTTCTGGCGGCTCCCATTGCCCATAAAACAACATCTAAGCTCCTAGCATGGCATGAAAGGTCCTTTGCAGTCTGCTCAAAACTTTCTAAACTTCAGCCAATCTAAGTCCATGAGCCCTTTACTTTTGGAAAATCAGATACCCACCTGTTTTTATACTGCCAGGTACCATCACATTCTAAGTTTTTGCTCAGGCTTGTTCTCTGCCCAGAATGCTATCCCCTGATTTTACTGTCAGATGAATTCCTACATACCCATCAACGCCTACAACATATCTTCTCTTTCATGAATTTCTCTCTGGTTCCCTGATTTCTTGACCAGGCATTATGACCTGCTGCTCCCACATCTATTTCCCTGTTACACTTTAAACAAGCTTCAACTAAAGCCAAGCCTCAATGACCTGGTGTTATTTGTTGCCAGGTCTGTCTCCCTGGCTAGAAAGTGAGGTTGTGTTTTTCTCCGAATGTTGAAATCCCACTACCTTGCAAAGTATAGCTCAATGCAAAACCATTGAAAGAAACAAACTAGACGTATGTATACAGCACATAGTCTGTTGTAAGAAAAAGGGCCTGACACAAACACAATGGATACATAATAACTGTTTGTTGAATTAAATTGGAAATTATCTTCTCAGGTTATGCCATTAAATGAACTGTAAAACCAACCACCTGAGCCAAAAATAGAGAAAAGCCAAGAGTTATATCCTAAGTTTAAATTTTAAAAGGCTTTGGTGAGGCTCACACGTTTGGGGGAAAATATAGGTATAGACTCACTTATCACTGCTCCTCTCCTCTGAATACAACTAAACATTCTGGAAATAATCAAACAATGACAAAAGGACTCTGAAAGATAGAAGGAGGAAGACAGATGTACTGGAGACCTCAGGACTTGAAGAATGATATGGGAGTGAGATCCCAGGGTTTTCTTTTTATCTGCCCTATATCCCAGACTGTGGGCTAGAGAGGTCTTCCCAGACCTCCAACAGTCAGAGACCAGAAGAAGAAGAGCCCAAAGAATGGGAAAAGGGGCAACTCAGCAAGGCAGAAGTCTTTTTAACAAAACTAGTCCTATGCTAGGCAAGTACCATGAATGACCACCTGTGCCCATGGCTACAGCACTGACAGAGACTGAGTCGGGAGCCTCATCTCCTGATTGCCACTTCACGATAGTGGATAGGCCAGGCTAAGCCCCTTGCTCCCATACTAGTAGTGCAAGTGGAAACCAGGCAGGGGATTTGACATCCCACTTCCCAACCCCCAAGAACAGCAGGAGACCGAGTGCAGCACCCCGCTTTCTCTAACTTACTACTGGAGACAGGCAGGAAAGGGTGGACTCCCAATCCTGCCCAGGAGTAGCAGGCAGCATCCATCACCCTCCAAACGAAAGGGCTGGGTGAGGATCTTCGAGAAGAGATGGCTGGAGAAAGGATTCCTAAATCTGTATAGGAAGGCCTAATAAGTCAAACATGAAACTCTCCAGAATCAACACGCCAAAAGGTTTGAGGACCAAACTATGGCATGGAATTCCACTTAGATTTTAAGAATGAACTCTAAGGAGCACAAATATGAAGTAGAACCAATTTGGACTGCGAGAGCTGTGAACACATGTTATTGGTATTACATTCCACAAAAGCAGGACAGAACACATGTTCTAAACCTAGACAAAGTAACATTTGGCTAAAATAGCAGATAGAAAATACAAAGAACTAAGAAGATCACAATTTGACTGAGAAAAGACAATTAACAGATACTGAAACATTGAGATACTGAAATTATCTAACAAAGATTTTAAAGTATCCATTGTAAAAATACTTTAATAAGCAATTACAAATTATCTTGAAACAAAAAAGAGAAAATTTCAACAATAAGAAATACATGTTATAGTAAAAAAGGAACCAAATAGAAAATACAGACCTGAAAAATATAATAACTGAATTTTTTAATTTACCAGATGGCTCAGTCATAAATACTATCATCATTGGCAAGGTAAAGCATCACTGAACTAGAGGACAGATCAATAGAATATATCCAATTGGAACAACAGAAAACAGACTGATAGAAAGTAATGAAACAGAGTTTCAGAGACCTGTTGGACAGTCACAAAAAAATTAACACTTATGTCATCAGAGTCACAGAACAACAGGGGAAAAAGTGTGGAGCTGAAAAATATTCACAGAACTAATGACTGAAGATTTCCCAAATTTGTGATATACCTAAACCTACAAATTCAAGAAATTGAGAAAATCTCAAACTACTTTTGCTCAAAGAAATTCGTACCAAGACATATCACAATCAAACTTCTAAAAATAAATACAAAGAAAAATCTTGAACGTAGCTAGAAAGAAGCAACACATGAGGGAGAACACTGATGTGAATTACTGTGGATTTTTAAGGTGAAACCATGAAGCCAAAAGGAATTGGCACATTTTTCAAATGCTAATACAAAAGAATGGCTAACTTTGAGCTCTATATCCAATAAAATTATTCTTCAGCAATGAAGGAGAAATAAACACTTCTCAGATAAAAGAAAACTGTTGGGGAAAAGCTGAGTGTTGGCAGAAGCTGAGGCAGGTCTTACACGTCTGACATAATGTAAAAGAGTCTTGGAACATGTCTGGGGTCCAGGGTCTAAAACCCCTTGTGGCCTCTGGAACACTAAGCTCTGTACTAAAGGGTGGAAGGCTACCCTCACATACCATAATCTAAGCCCAGGACATAAAACCCCTCGTGGCTTGGATAGAATCCAGGGCTCGTGGCTCTGGAATGTGTCTAGACTTGCTGGCTCCTTGCTCCTTGCTCTCCCAGGATCGAATATATCTTGAGTTAAAAGAACCTGCTCTCCATTCATCTCAAGTAGCAAAACAAATGCTAAACCATCACAGCTGTAAATCATGTGTTTAATGCAACGCGTCCTTTTGACCTCCACATTCTCACCACCTGTTTCTCTGTTGGATTACCAATAAATAGCATGGGCTCCCAGACCTTGGGGTCTTCACAGCCTCCACAATTGCGATGGCCCCCTGGTGCCCACCTTTCTCTCTCAAGCTGTCTTTTCTCAATCCTTTGACACTGCCGGACTTTGTCACTCCCACGACCTGGTGTTGGGTCTGATCACCCCAACAGAAAACTAAGAAAATTTGTAGTCAGCAAACCTACCCTAAGAGAAGGGCTGAAGAAAATTCTCCAAACAGTATTTTAGGATAACAGAAAGAGACTTGGAAAAATTCAAAAAAGGAAAAGATATCAATGGAATGAGTAAAAATGGGGATAAATAAAACATGTCCTCCTTCCCCTCTTGAGTTTTTAAAGCTATTTTGATGGTTGGGAAAAATATAATACCTTCCAATGTGGTGCTCAACATACTTATGGAAATACTCAAGGCAACTATATTTTTAAAGGGAGGAGGGTAAAGTATGGAAATGAAAGTATGATTTCCATACTTCACTCAAGGTGCTATTAGTAAAACTTTATTATAAATAGGCAGTGATAAGTTACACGTGTATATTGTAATACCTAGAACAACCACTAAGAAAACAATATCAAAAGACATATTCCAAAACACTCTTAATAAATCAAAATAGATTCTTAAAAAAACTCAAGAAAACCAAAGGAAGTCAAGAAAAGTGTATCAGAGAAATGAGAAGTAGAGGGAACACACACAAAAATGAATAAAATGGCATGCTTACACCTTAGCATGTCAATAATTACTTTAAATGTAAATAATTTATTTTTATTTTTTATTTCTTATTTTATTGTATTTATTTTGTTTGTTTTTGAGCAGAGTCTTGCTCTGTCACCCAGGCTGGAGTGCAGTGATACCATCTGAGCTCACTGCAACCTCTGCCTCCCAGGTTCAAGTGATTCTCCTGCCTCAGCCTCCCAAGAAGCTGGGACTACAGGCACCTGCTAACACACCAAGCTAATTTTTGTATTTTTAGTAGAGCTGGGGTATTCTCATGTTGGCCAGGCTGGTCTTGAACTCCTGACCTCATGTGATCCACCCGCCTTGGCCTCCTAAAGTGCTGGGATTACAGGCATGAGCCACCACACCTGGTCCTAACTGTAAATAGTTTAAATGCACCAGTTACAAGACAGAGACTGTCAGAGTAAAAAGCATGCCCCGATTACATAATGTCTACAAGAAACTGACTTCAAACATAATGACACAAGCAGGTTGAAAGTTAAAGGATAGAAAAACATATCCCATAAGACCATCAGTGAAAGAAAAGGAGAGACTATATTAATAGCAGATAAAATAGACTTCAGAGCAAAGAAAATTACCAGAGACAAAAAGGAACATTATGTAATCATACAAAGGTCAATCTACATAGTATTCCTAAAAGTGCATGCACCAAACAAAGCATCAAAATACATGTAGCAGACACTGATAGAACTGAAGTGAGCTGGGCGTGGCAGCTCACACCTGTAATCCTAGCACTTTTAGGAGGCCGAGGCAGGCAGATCACCTGAGGTCAGGAGTTCCAGTCTAGTTCAGCCAAGATGGAGAAACCTCATCTCTACCAAAAATACAAAAATTAGCTGGGCGTGGCAGCACACACCTGTAATCCCAGCTATTCAGGAGGCTGAGGCAGGAAAATCGCTTGAATCCGGGAGGTGGATGTTGCAGTGAACCGAGATTGCGCTACCGCACTCCAGCCTGGGTGACAGAGTGAAACTGTGTCTCCAAAAAAAAATAAAAACTGAAAAGACTTTGATGAAGGCTCTCAACTCATGATTGAGGATCAAATCCTAGAAAGAATAGAGGAAACCAACAGCAATCTCTCACAAATTCCTCCTTGGAAGACAATCTTCTGTGTTAAGGGCAAAAATGCTCTATACGGATTTACTAATCTTTTGGATCAAATTAAAAAAAAAAAAAGAGTGGTTCCCCTAAATTAGAAGAAGTCTGTTCATAATGATAGAGCAAATAACCTCCCATGCCAGATATTGGTATGTCACAAAAAATTGTACTGTATTAATATTTAAATAGATGGATAAATGTTGATTGATAACTCAAGAGCACTGCCACTTTTAAAAAATAAATGAAAGGGCATAGAAATGTTATGAAAACTTAGTCTCTGAGCCAGCATTCAAGCACCTGGGTCCTTATTCTTTTGTCTCAACCCATCCCTTTATCCGATCTGGCAGCCATCAGGAGCTAGCTGTTGTAAAATGGCATTTTTCTTGGCTCCAGCCTCTCTTGGTTGGATTTGGCTTTTGACAATAGCTTTATTTGATTTATTGGTTACAGTTGCTATTGTTCATATAATCAAAACGAACTTCTACTTCTGGCTAAGATATGGTAACAGGGACCAGATTTACTGTCTCACCTGAAAGAACATCGACAAGACAAAATATATAAAACGACAATTTTAAGAAAGTGTACATCAGGCAACAAAAGACAGTGTTGCCTGAGAGAAGAAAAACAAATCACATCAGACCTACAGTTTCCCCAGGTTATTTCCTTGAGAGTCTCTGGACTCCAACGCAGGGAGGGGGGAATCCAAGCAGAGGCCCCAGACTCAGTGAGTTAAGGAGACAGAACTAAATTTAAGGAGAGCAAGGCAATCAGACATCTCAGGACGGCATATCAAAGAGGAGATGCTGCACAGAGTGACTTGGAGATCTGCAGAAGGTCCTGCTGGAATTAATGACATGCACACCCATGAGAAAATGGCTGCTGGCCAGGAGAAAGAACCCTCTTAAGGATCAGTGAAATCTATACCCAGTGGTCACACAGGTCTAGAGATCATTTCTGTTGTCAGGAGATAGATTGGAAAACCTTACGTTTTATGGAGTGTTGGGTAGAATACTCAGAATAATTTTGCCTCAGGAGTGGGCAAATGTACTGCCCTGATCCCACCTAACAAATCTTAAAAGCCAGATTCCAAAGGATTAAACTGTTTCCAAATAACTGCATGCCAAAACAAAAGTAAAGAATATTCATAGTAATACAAAAATATCCAGCAAAAAAGAAGAAAGGAAAAATGCACAGTGTTGGCACCCAATCAAAGGTCATTAGTCATGAAGAAGGCCAAAAATTATGACTCGTAATAACATGGCTAATAAGCCTGACCCTCCCCATCTCACCACTCATAACCATGGCAACTGACATTTACTGTTATCCAAAATTAACAAAATTGGTGTCTACAAGTTATGACTTCAATATTTTGGTTTTTTATGATCTCTTTAGGAAACAGTGCTGAAGCCATTTACAGTCTTGCATTGCATAACAACATTTCAGTCAACAATGAATCTTATATACAGCTGTGAACCCATAAGATTATAATGAAGGTAAAAATTTCCAGCGGCCTAGTGATGTAACTGTAGTGACTTCGTAGCTGTCGTGATGTTACAGTGCAATGCATTCTTCACGTGCTTATGGTGATTCTGTTGTAAAGAAACCTGCTGCATGATGCCAGTAGTTTAAAAAGTTAAAAGAAGAATAACAAATTCTAAAAATAGAAAAAAGCTTATACAATAAGGATATTAAAAAAGAAAACATTTTTGTACAACTGTACAATATGTTTGTGTTTTAAGCTGTATTATTACAAAAGAGTCAAAAGGTTTAAAAAAAACTATGAAGTAAATAAGTCACAGTAAGCTAAGGTTAATTTATTATTGAACAAAGAAAAAATATTTTTATACATTTAATGTAGCCTAAGTGTAGTGTTTACAAAGTCTACAGTAGCATACGGCAATGTCTTAAGCCTTCACATTAACTCATCAATCACTCATAGACTCACCCAGAGCAACTTCTAGTCCTGCAGGCTCCATCCATGGTAGGTGCCCTATACAAATGTACCAAATTTTTACCTTTTATATCTTATTTTTTACTGTACCTTTTCTATGTTTAGATATGTTTAGATAACACAAATACCATCATTTTACAATTACCTATAGTATTCAATATAGTAGCCTGCTGTACAGGTTTGCAGCCTAGGATCAATAGGCTATATGCCACATAGCCTAAGTGTATAGTAGGCTATATCATCTAGGTTTGTGAAAGTACACTTTATGATGTTCATACAATGATGAAATCGCCTAACAATGCATTTCTCAGAATGTATCCCCATCATGACTGTACTTCGTTAAGTGGTTGTAAGACTTAGACATTTTTTCTGGTAGCAAGACCCCAACATTTCCTCAAGGTCAATGGTGGCTGTCAATTTAACCTCTACTTCAGCATTTTAAAAATAAATGCCAACACATATTTCCCCACCACTGGATAGAAGGTCAAAGTCTTATTCTTGTCAACTCCTAATCAGAAGATCTCAGCTTTGAGAGGCAAAAATTACAATACACTTGAGTGGTTCTGAGGCAGCAGCTTGTATTTGAAGAACCCCTGTAGGTAAGCACAAATTGAACAAGGAGAAATGAAATCTGCCCGTGATTATGCTTACCTTGTCCAGCTATTGAGAATGGCCAAGAGGCAAGTCAATGCTGACCCCGTGTTCTGAAGATTGATAGTGTCAATAATCTGATTACCTCCTGCAAAAATTGTTTTTGCTGAAACAAGCTCTCAAGAATATGCAGAATGGAGATCTTAGGTACCGCATTAGCTGAATGACTTGAAAGTATTCTATGACCATTTAATTTACCTCTTTGATTATGACATAAGATGTCAGCTTTCACTCTCACTCTCCATGACCTTGAGCAACTCATGAACTATCTTTGAGTTTGTGTGAATAGATGCAGAGCTGGAATACAATCTATTTTCCATGAATATCCCTCAGAGAGAATAAAATAAGATTGTGTATTCAGAGCTTTCCTTTGCCAAAAAGACCTCTGACAGATATATAATACATTATTGTTCTTGTAACCAACTGCAGCCTGCTGTCTTGTAAACAAAAGTGCTCAATCAATAATGTTGGTTGATAGATCGGTTCACCAACTGAAGGTGTCCATGTGAGAAATCTACACTAGAAAACAGCCCCCATTAAAACAGATTCAGCAGAACCTCCACCAAGTGTGCAGATGTAAATGTCTCCTCTCTTCTGAGTCAAGAGAGACATTCCAGGGACAAAGTAAGACATAGAGTAACAGTATGTCGAAAATCCAAGTCATCCTGGCAAAATAAGTAAATCCAGTGACATGAAAGGACAACAGAAACTAGTGACATTAACAAATATTTATAAAGGGCAAAGTTCCATTTACAGGCACAGCTGGTTTTGTTGTGCTTTGCTTCATAGCGCTTTGCAGATATTGCTTTTACAAATTAAAGGTTTGTGGCAACCCTACAGCCAGCAAGTCTTTCGGCACCATCTCTCCAACAATGTGTGCTCACTTCATGCCTCCATGTAACATTTTGGTAATTCTTGCAATATTTCAGCATTTTTGTTACTATTTTCTCTCTGTTATGGTAGTCTGTGATCAATAATTTTTGATGTTACTATTGTATGTGCTTTAAGGCAATATGAACTGTGCCCATATAAGATGGCAAACTTAATAAATGCTATGTGTGTATGCTCTGACTGCCCACTGATGAGCCGTTTCCCCATCCCTCTCCCTTTCCTCAGGCCTCCCTATTCTCTGAGACACACCAATATTAAAATTAGACAATTAATTACCCCTACAATGGCACCTAAGTGTTCGAGTGGAAGGAAGAGTGAGTCCCTCACTTTAATCAAAAGCTAGAAATGGGCAAGGTATGGTGGCTCAAGCCTGTAGTCCCTGCACTTTGGGAGGTGGAGGCGGGAAGATTATTTGAGGAAGGAGTTTGAGACCAGCCTGGACAACACACAGAGACTCTGTCCCTACAAAAAATTAAAAATCAGCTGGGCATGGCGGTACATGCCTGTAGTCCCAGCTACTCAGGAGGCAGAGGTGGGGAGGCTCCCTTGAACCCAGGAGGTTGAGGCTGCTGTGAGCCGTGATTGTGCCATTCCACTCCAGCCTAGGCAACAGTACAAAATCCTGTCCAAAAAAAAAAAAAAGCTAGAAATGGTTAAGTTTAGTTGAGAAGGCATGTCAATAGCCAAAGTAGGCCAAAAGCTAGGCTTCTTATACCAAAGAGTTAGCCAAATTGTGAATGCAAAGGCACAGCTCTTGAAGAAAATTAAATGTGCTACTCCAGCAAACACATGAATGGTAAGAAAGCAAAACAGCCTGTTGCTGATATGAAGAAAGTTTTGGCGGTCTGGATAGAAGATCAAACCAGCCAAAAAATATTTTTAAGCCAAAGCATAAACCAGAGCAAAGTCCTAACTCTCTTCAATTTCTATTAAGTCTAAAAAAGGTAAGGGAGCTGCAGAAGAAGAGTTTGAAGCTAACAGAGGTTTGTTCATGAGGTCTAAGGAAACCAGCCATCTCTGTAACACAAAAGTTCAAGTTGAAGCAGCAAATGCTGATATAGAAGCTGCAGCAGGTTATGCAGAAGATCTAGCTGAGATCATTGATGAAGGGGGCCACATTAAGTGACCAATTTTCAATACAGACAAAACAGCCTTCCATTGGAAGAAGATGCCATCTATGACTTTCATGGCTAGAGAGAAGTCAAGGTCTGGCTTCAAAGTTTTTGAAGGACAGGCTGACTTTTGTTGGGGGCTAATGCAGCTGGTGAATTCAAATTGAAACCAATGCTCATTTACCATTCTGAAAATCCTAGGGTCCTTAAGAATGCTGCTAAATCTACTCTGGCTATGCTCTTATAAATGTAAAAACAAAGTGTGGATGGCAGCCCATCTGTTTGTGGCATGGTTTACTGAATATTTTTGGCCCACTGTTGAGACTTACTCCTCAGAAAAAAAAAATACTTTTTTTCAAACTATGACTGCTCATTGATAATGCATCTAGGTACCAAAGAGCTCTGATGGAGATGTATAAGGAGATTAATGTTTTCACACCTGCTAACACAGTATCCACAAATCTACAGTATCTGTAACCCATGGATTAAGGAGTAATTGTGATTTTCAAGTCCTATTATTTGTGATTCCTGTGATGGATCTGAGCAAAATCAATTGAAAACCTTCTGGAAAGGATTTACCATTCTAGATGCCATTAAGAACTTTCATGATTCATGGGAGGAGGTCAAAATATCTACATGAACAGGAGTTTGGAAGAAGTTGATTCCAACCCTCATGAGTGACTCTGAGGGGTTCGAGGTTTCTGTGAAGGAAGTAGCTGCAGATGTGGTGGAAACAGCAAGAAAACTAGAATTAAAAGTGGAAGCTGAAGATATGATTGAATTGCTGCAATGTCATGATAAAACTTGGAAAGATGAGAAGACGCTTCCTACGGATGAGCAAAGAAAGTGGTTTCTTGAGATGGAATCTACTCCTGGTAAAGCTGCTGTGAACATTATTGGAATGACATCAAAGGGTTTAGAATATTACATAAACGTAGTTGATAAAGCAGCTGCAGGGTTTGAGAGCATTGACTTTAATTTGAAAGAAGTTCTACTATAGATAAAATGTTATCAAACAGCATTACATGATACAGAGAAACCTTTCATAAAATAAAGAGTTCGTCAATGTAGCATACTTCATTGTTGTATAGAGGTTCTAAGATACTGCTATACCCACTCTAACCTTCAGCAATCACAACCCTAATCAGTCAGCTGCCATCAACATTGAGGCAAGACCCTCCATCAGCAACACATTTACAATTTGCTGAAGTCTCAGGTGACTATTAGCATTTTTTAAGCAATAAGGTATATTTTAGTTAAGGTATGTACTTTAACTTTTTAGACTAATGCTATTGCACACAATAGACTACAGTATAGTATAAACATAAGTTTTATATGCACCAGGAAAGCAAAGATTTTTTTATTTTGTAAAATTTCTATTATTTGTAATTAACAGATAAAGTTGTATGTATTTATCATGTGTAATATGATTTATTGAAGTATATATACATTGTAGAATGACTAAATCTAGATTTCATATGACTCACTTTATTGTGATAGCCTCTTCGTTGTGGTGCTCTGGAAATGAACCCACAATGTCTCCAATGTATGCTTGTACTAGGAAGAATTCAGGACTCCAATAAAAGATACCATGTAAGTGGAATATCTCTGTGATCTAATTCACCTAAACTCATAGGAATCACTACCCACTTAGCATACGGTAGTTTGCTTTAACAGTTCTGTTTGTTCTAGAAAAATATAATACAGAATTTTGCTAGACTCAGAGCCTGAGAAACTGTTCCAGCAAAACATCATCCTTCCTTTCCATGTATGTCTCTTGTGAGCCATAGTTCATTAAGCCCAATGTAATAAGGAAGCTATAGACCTGATCATTTTAAAAGTTTGAATGAGAGTTTTAGAAATTATTCTCTAGGTTATATTGTTATCCCCACCGGAGTCAGAGAAGCTTGTTTGGTTACACTGTCATGACGCCTACATTGCAATGTTTTAGGGCCACCTGCATCCCAAAAATCCCTCTCTCCTACCTGCATTCTTCTACAATCCTGTTTGTCCTTGACAAAATCCCTCTCTCCCACCTGTACACATTCTTCTACAATCCTGTCTGTCCCTGACACAATTAGTCACATTTCTCAGGACCTTTGGGAGGTACATATATTAATATTTCCAATAATATTAGTTGCATGATTTAAAAAGAACTACACAGTGAGAGCTAAAGTCAGCAGAAATCATTTTCTTAGATTAACTTGGAACTTCCTTTTATTGTTTAGCAGACAGGAGCTTGGAAATAATGAGAAGAAAGATTCAGCAAGAGTGAGAGTGGAAAATCAGCTTGTGGTTTTGAGCATATCATGTGAAAAGGACAGTATTCTAAAAAGACACAGAGGGAGAAATGAATTAGAAGCAAAAGCAGACAAATTCCATTTTCGCTTTACAACCTTCACTAAGATTTAAGTGCATTTAAATGTTTGTAAATATAATATGATTTAGATAACAGAGAACTGGAGGATCACAGAGTGTATGTTTGGAAAAGATTTTCCATTATGATTTGAATTATTATTAGGTGAGATAGCCCCTTAGCCAAGAAAGAAGTACCCTATTACTGTAAATACAGGCTTCCCAGAAACACAAGCATGCTCAGGCTGTCCTCTGGCCACCAGAGGCAATGGCAGCAGAAACCTGAAGGACTGTTTGCAAGTGGAACAGATGCTTCTTGCCAAAAACGATTGAAATCCTCCAAGATGAGGATAGACCCAGAGGCTGACCTTGTAGTATAGGAGATAAAGAATGGAGTGATGCCGCTCAAGTGGGGAGAAAACTCTCAGGCAGCCTGACTTTGATAAATGATTTTAACTGTGATTCCAAAACAACAGGAATGCATTAAGTGAGCTCTGGCAGCATCTAGGGACAAGCAACGCCGCACTTGTATTAATCATTCCAGCCCGGTCGACTGCCGACGTGATTCATAGGCAGTGCACAGCATCATAGAAAAGCGGCCTGATGTTGTGGAAAAGGCATGCTGCGAAAAGTCAGGAGCACCAGGAGGCACATGCAAATATTACTGAACACCTGCTGTTTTCCAGATACCATGCTCAGCACTTTTCCAGCAGATTTTTACTGAGTCCTCCCAGAACCTTCTGTCATAGGCTTTGGTGTGCTGGAGCCAGCTCATACCAGCTAATGAAGGCATCTTTTTGTTGTTTGCATTTCTTCCCAGGTCCATGTGCAATGAGGTCACACTGGTAGCTTGAACTGCATTTTACATTCAAAGGCTTTAATCTTGTTATGATGGAAACCTTGAAGGAAAGGAAGGAAAGAAGCCTGTGTCCTACAACAATCATCATCTGAATGGAGTGCTTAATCCTTCTGTGCCTTCTCTCATCTTGTGATCATAGGCATCCCTCTAGTTAAGGGAGGATTTGCTGAAGACCCCTTAATAGGCAAGACAGCCTGACAAAGACTGCAATACTTCTGAGTGATAAGCAAGAAAATAATACAGATATAAAGTTGTAGAAACACCATCCACCATGTACAATCATTTGTATTTGTCAATGCTTACTTTTAACACATTTTCATATGGTACACAATCAAATGTCACCATTCAATGCTTTAGTGTTTGGGAGCTCAGCCCCATCCCAGAGCAGATGAAAGGAGTCTTTGATACTTGGAAGCCTCATTTTCATCCTGATTCTTTGTTCTCTTCATCCTTTCTTCTTATTTTGTGAATGCCCTGCTTCCCCGATCTGATCTGATTTTCTTCTCTATTTCATCTCAGTAGAACACCAAGAGTCCCTATTTTATCAGAGTGTACCCTTGCTTACCAGAGTACCCATTAACCTAGTCTGAGTATCTTTACTTTCAAGAACATTATTAATAATTCTTTATCTCTGATTGCACAAGTAATGCACGTTCTTCATTTTTTAAAAGTGTAGAGAAGCAAACGAGGATAAAAAGCTATCTGTATCCTCATTATTGCAAAAGATTATCACTGTCAATAATCTACCATATTCTATATTGGGTCTCCATTTTTTTTTCTAACTCGGCAAATTTTTAGATCAAAAGTTTAAACCAGTGATTTTCTATCAGTGATGATTTTGCCTAGACAATTCTTTCCTTCCTTCTACCAAAACATATTTGACAAAGTCTGGAGGCATTTTTGGTTGCCACAGCTTGGAGGGGGATGCTACTAGCATCTAGTGGATGGAGGCCATGGATGCATGTAAATGGACTAAAATGCTCAGTATAGTCCCCAAAACAGGGAATTATCCAGTCTAAAATATTGATAGTATCCGGATTGAGAAAGTTTGGTCTAACATAAAGCCTAACACATCCTAGATTTTCCAACAACAAGTATTGTATTTCTGATTCCTCTAATACCTTCAGTCAATATTCTGGTTTCTCCTTTGCCTGTCTTCCTCTTGGAGCCCAACAATTATAATTCACCCACAGAATTGTCAGGCAATTCGTGAACACACACTAGTGAACAAAGAACTAGATTCCTCTCTGTCCTCCAGTCCTGTGTTCCTCTCCAGATCTGCTTAGAACTATGTTGTTTTTTTCATGTTCTTTTAGTTGTGACTTTCTCTCTCTCTCTCTCTCTGTGTGTGTGTGTGTGTGTGTGTGTGTGTGTGTGTGTGTGTGTGTTCTACTCATTTTTGTACCCAAGTACTTTGAATTGATCATTTCCACATTTTATTATGGGCTTGGTTATGAACTCTTCACATTCTATGAAAGGTTTAGTCTTCAAGATAAATTAACAAAAAGTAGTGGCATCACTAGAGAGGAAGCCTAAGGGGACAGCAGGGGGTGCTCCAGGGGGCTATGGGCTCCTAGGATAATAGAGAAGAAGGAGAGGGCAGTGAGACTGCCAGGGAAGTCAAGGCAGGCTCCCCCAGCTCAGGTAGACCCAGAAGTATAGCATGCAGGCATCCTAGGGCCCTGAAACAAACTCCAAGCATCCAGTGTCTAAAAGACTTTTCCCCCTTCTCAAATGCCTGGAAGGACAGGGTCATACTTCTCTGTCATTTCCAAGAGCCTGAGATATTGTGGGACTTTCAGAGATATTATGCATATGGTAGTTTACATTTGTATAGGCAGTTTCCTTTTAATGAGATATCTTCCATCGTGAATATAAAATGTTTCTAAGATCTGGATGCTGCGTAACTACGGGGTTTTGTTGCACACATATTTCAGCCAAAGAGAGTCCTTTTCTATCATATTCCCCTATCCCACTACAAACATCCTGGGTACCAAAGGTGTAACTCTTCACTAAGAATTATGTTTCCAATAATAAATATGCTGAATAGTTAAAATTTCATTATCACTATGGCTAATATTCATAGAGTTTTGTAGACTGTAAAGCATTTCCACAGTTTATGTTACTTGTTTCTCACAATTGTGTGAAGTATTTGGGGCACTTGATTTTACATTAGAATTGATGTACATTCCCCTCTCTGCCACTTAGTATCTATTTGGCTTCAGGCAAGCCACTTAGCTTCTTTGAACTTGTTTTATCATCTGTAAAATTATTCTTGTTTTATTTGGTTCTAGTGAGATCAAAATAAGAAAATGTATTACAGCGAAATTTCTGTCAGCAATAAAGCATGTTACCAACACAAGCAACTATTTTGCAGATGGAGGCACTGAAGCTGGAAAAGACTGGTAATGTTTTGAATGTTATATACCTAGTAAGTCCTCCTTGCAGATTTCTGATATTAGTATACAGATGGTGCCCAACTTAATGGTGGCTTGATTTACAATTTTTTGACCTGATAATGTGTTTATTGAGGTATCAAATGCATTTTTAACTTACAATGGTTTTGACTCATTATGGATTTATTGGGACGTAACCCCACTGTAAGTCAAGGAGCATCTGCGTTCTGATACCGCATTCAGCTCTCATTCCACTAGGTGCTCTCAAAAGCTCCTGTCATTGCTCCAGGTGATCTTAAAACTTAGCAACTCAATAATTTATATTCTACATTCTGCTTAGATTTTAACACAATAGAACTGATGCCTGATGCAGTGATGGCCACAAAGGCTGTAAATGCTGAATAAATACTCTGCCTGCTTGAGTGATTACCTTAAATTAATAATGAAATAAAATACACATTCCCACCAGTCTTAAATGATAATTCCTTAGCAAGAGTAATCACCGCATAATGGATACAAAGTGGGGTTCTGAAAGCAGACAATCCCAGGTTTAAAACCAAGCCCTGACCTTCATAAATTGTACAACCCTGAACAACCTCCTTAACATCTATGAACCTTTAGTTCTGAATCTGTTAAATGAGGACAGTGACATTTCATAAAATCTCTGTAAGAATTAAAAACATGTTGTATCAAAAGAGCTGAGTACTATGTCTGGCATATTATATGCACTTAATAAATGTTACCTATTTCTATTATTTGACACCTAGTGTCTTCTTTTCTGTTCTATTGAGCTCATGTTATTTCAAGGAAGACTATTTGAAATTTAAGAGAAATACTCATTCCTCTTGCTAACGACAAAGATTTGTTTAGGAGGCAGGAGGGAGACGTAAAATTGGAAGCAAATATCCCCTTGAGTTGGTGGCTCAAAGGGATGCGTTTCTTTGCAAGGAAATTTTTTAAATATAAAGAAGTTGATATTTTTTTCCCTATGAGATCTATTAGTGAGGAAATAGAATTCTTCCTCCTAGTGTGGTTCAATATAGACATCAGTTGCAACATGCCCTGATTAAAAACACACTTGCCTCTAAGATAGAAAACATTTGTCTTGTTCAAAAACCAAGAGAAAAAGAAGAGTTCTTAACATAGAAATAATTAATGGGGAACCATGGAATTGGCCAGGGTCAGAAGATTTTTGGAAGAACAACTATGAGTTTTATTTTTAACTACTAGGGCTGAAAAGCAGAAGCTGAAAAAATCACACCCCCTACTGCCCTTAAGTAATGAAAAGGTCCTCCTGTTTAATTCCTTTCTGTCACTTACTCCCAAGGGTCTCCACCTCCAAACCTGCAGTGCAAGAGTAATTTCCTGTTAGAATACATCTGAAAAAAAAAAAAAAAAAAAAAAAAAAAAAAGTTCTGTTGCTGGATTGTGTCTTGCCTGCTACAGTGTGGGGGCTTGTTTTCATGCCAGGTCTCAGCAAACACCTGAAGAGACAAGTGTATTTTGGAGGAGCTGACGTCCCAAGGTATCAAGCTGTAAGCTCTTTCCTCCACCAATCTTCTCACATCGTGAGAATAAAGTCAGCCAAGGACTCAAAATAAACTTTCTAAACACTCTTTTCTCATTGCTGTCCCTGCTGTGGTGCTCTATTCCTTAGCCACCTGACCTTCTTGTTCAAAGCTTCCAATCAATTCCCCAGCTAAGTGCTGTCTTTCTGGAATTGAGAACACTGCTGAAATTTCAAAGATTGACATTTTTGAACACCTGGGTGAGAACCTCCTGGTGAGATAAGACAGACAAATAATAGAGTGGGCTCGTCAACATACTGAAAACCTTCAGCGTTCAGGAGATGGATACACAATGATTTAAAAGGAATGAGAGCTTAATACTTGTGGCCAACATTCTTAACACCAATCCAAATATATCACACATTCTTTAATTGTGATGTGCCTAGGTAGACTGAAATTTTCTCAGTGTCCAAAGATTTTATGCTCTTCTGCCTTCATAACCAGAGACAGGTGATACTTAGTTCTGGTTGAGACTTCAAGACGGAAAATTTTTAATGGCAAAGTAAATATTTTTGGAGTTTTACTAAAGTTTATGTCACAGAAGTTCTGAAAGGGAGTTTCTACCACAGGGAGAAAAAAAATAGGGTAGGCCTCTAGGAATCTCAATTGCATGAGAAACAAAGGAACCTCCCTGCAAAAAGAGAGGTGAGAAATTCAAGCCACACACTCACAAGTGTCAGAAGCAATTTTCTCCTGACCTCATGGCATGTGAAGTATTTTATTATGGTGGACAAAAGAAGAGATTGATACCAGCGCCCAGTGGGAAACTGGGAAAACTGACCGGGCAGCAGGAGCATTTCCTTCCTGAAGGGAACAGCAGCATGCATGTGTGTACCCAAGAGACTGGGGAAAAGAAAAAATCAGCATAACTAAAACTCGATGAGCAAGATGGAGTCCACTCAAAGACAACCCAGGAAAGCAATATCTAGATTGTAAGGCAGGAGCCATTCTCAGCAGGTAAAATAAGCCCATTTAAGGTAGGACAAGGGAGATGTGAAGCCAAACAGAGCCCTACGGAAAAGAACAGGTAAACAAAAGATGAAAAGGCCATGACTCTTAGTCAACTCTCAGGCATTCAAAATGAGGTTACGTTCTCCAAAGGTAACCATGGAAGGGCCAGGCAACAGGTAACTGAGTTGAGGACCATTCAAACAAACTAACCCACACACGGTGTGAGCAGATTCATTAGGTAAGTTTCAGGATTCATGTAGGCACCAAATTCCAAATTCATCATTAGGTCTAAGGCACTAGGAGTGCTGGGAATTAATGCTGGAAGAATGAAAGGAACTGGGCTAATAAGGTTAGTTCTAGCTAATATTTGCTAGAGAATGGTTTTCAGTGGTACCATCAGGTTTGATTCTCATTGAGCCTGGTCCTGGGTTGGCCTGAATTTGCAGTAGCGAAATGCCTTCAATTAACCATTTTATCTATCCTCTTGGAAACCGTCATCACAGTAGCACATGGTGGAGTGATTTTCATTATTTTTCACAATTCCACTGAAGATTTTCAGGTAAGAAGACAACTAATGACATTTATAAAATGATAACTATGACATTTATAAAATGGCCATAGCATGTCTACCTTTCAAAATTGTTGTGAAAATTAAATATAATAATTCCTGTAGGGTTTATAGCTATGGTGTCTAAGAATACTATGTACTCATTACACAGTAGTTATAATAATTCTAATAATTATTATGAAGCATAGCATCTTTGTCCCTCTTAACTAACAATTAAAATGCCCAAAGAAATATAAAAATAGGCCAGGTATGGTGGCTCATGCCTGTAATCCCAGCACTTTGGGAGGCCAAGGCGGGCTGATCACTTGAGGTCAGGAGTTCAAGATCAACCCGCCCAAAATGGTGAAACCTGTCCCTACTAAAAATGCAAAAAAATTAGCTGGGCGTGGTGGCATGTGCCTGTAATCCAAACTACTTGTGAGGCTGAGGCGGGAGAATCTCCTGAACCCAGGAGGCGGAAGTTGCAGTGAACTGAGATCATACCATTGCACTCCAGCCTGAATGACAGAGCAAGACTCTGTCCCACAAAAAAGAGAAATATAAAAATACAGAGAGCTGGGCGCGGTGGCTCATGCCAGTAATCCCAGCACTTTGGGAGGCCAAGGCGGGTGGATCACAAGGTCAGGAGATCGAGACCATCCTGGCTAACGTGGTGAAACCCCGTCTCTACTAAAAATACAAAAAATTAGCCGGGCGTAGTGGCAGGCGCCTGTAGTCCCAGCTACTCAGGAGGCTGAGGCAGGAGAATGGTGTGAACCTGGGAGGCAGAGCTTGCAGTGAGCTGAGATTGCGCCACTGCACTCCAGCCTGGGTGACAGAGCAAGACTCTGTCTCAAAAAAAAAAAAAAGAAAAGAAAAAAAAAAGAAAAATCCAGCATCCACAATGAAAAACAAGCAAAAGTTCAATCAAGTAGGTAGATATTCTAGTTGTGTTGCAAACAATCAACTCACAAATTTCATTACAGAGAAAGCAGGATGATGCCTCAGGTGGTAGACAGGACAGACATGCAAAATGTCATAAATGTTCACATTTGAAGAAAAAAAATCTAAAGACAAATGAAGGTTTTCAAATGAGGAGTAAATTCCACTTAACGTCATTTTCACCACCACTGAACAACAGCACACAAAAGCAATTGTTCTAGGAGAACTAAGGAGAACATCAGCAGGTGATGAGGCTTCTGCTGCAGTAACTCCTAGGAGTCCGTTCACAGCCACCCATTGCCATGATTCTCAAGTCCAGCTATGTGACAGAAGCATTTAGGACCTTTAAACAATATTCATGCCTCGCTATTTTTTCCCAGACATTCTGATTTAATTTTTGCAAGCAAGTTTGGGAACTGTTGAACTGTCATTATAGGCCAAGATGAAGGAAAACCTAGAAGAAGGTTGGCTTCTAACTCAACAGCTTCATTATCATGGGAAAGAAACTCTGCAGTTCAACCACAATCTTGGTCCCTCTCCACTCCCTTGGGCAGCTGGATCACTGAATCACTGAATGCAGCCTTCCATGGAGCAGAGTGTAAAGGGATCCAGCAACCCAACGCCAACACGGTGATAAGGCACCAGTCCAGCGACCCAGCAGTAAGCCAAGTATCAAGCCAGGAGAAAGCTCTCCTGAAACAAAGACAAATGAACAGAGCAAACACAGCAAAGCACATGAAAAAATTCTGCATCATAAATGGAGAAAATAGTATACTCAAGAGAATAAAAAAAATAACGATTTTTGAAAAGGAGAAAAATGACAATTTTACATCTATTTTGCACTACCAATAAAATTTCAAGACAAGGAGAATTTTATAAGACATAATGATTGGGAGTTAAGACAGAATAAAGGTAGCAGAAAAGAAGTTTTAAGAATTAACTGTACAGAAATGGATTGTATCATTGCTTCAGTTCTGTGCTGTCCTTAATATTTGTTTATTTAAGCAAATGCATTAAATTAAAAGGAGGTTTCAGGGCAAAGGTTGTGATCTGGGACTTATAACACTCAAAAATACTGATTAATAATTTTGCATTAATTACTGTCTTGCATTCTCAAAATGCAAGACATCAGAAAATACACCACCTGAGGTTCTTTCCAAAAAGGGAGAAACAAAGAAAAAGGCAAAGTCTCCAAAACATAGTCCTGCCAGTCAAAAGAGACCCATATTTATAAGTGGTATAAAATTCTAGACTGTACTAACAAAAATGAGGAAATGAGAGGGAAAAAGCTAGAAGGAAATGAAATTATACCAGTATTTTCATATTACATAGGGAAGAACCTGGGTATTGCTCGTGTTAATATTAAGTATTAAAGGAATAGATATACTAAATATGTATATATACTTTTTCTAAAATTACTAAAAAATAGTACAAAGCATATTTTTAATGAAAGAACAAGAAATCACACAAAAATATTAAAATTGGTGACACAAATAAAACTAAACATATTAAATATATGATTCCCCCAATACTATTAACTGATGATGGGGTTATAAGTATATATATGCTTGCCTATAACAGACACATCTCAAATAAAGTGACAAAGATAACAGTAGTAAAGGAATGAACAAAGATATACAAAACAATAAAAAAGAAAATGGAAGAAAGGTAGAGTATTAATGTAAGGCAGAATTCAAAGCAAAAAAGCATTACAAGACATAAACAGTGCAATTATGTCTTTGATAACAAATATAATCCAAAATGAGGACATATATCAGTCATGGATGTTTACACATCAAATTGCACAGCATTAAATCAAAACAAAAATCATTAGAAACACATAGAGAAATAGAGAACTAAAAAAGGTATGGGAGACTTCAAACGAATAGAAATCATTCTATTACAAAGATACATGCACATGTATGTTCATCGCAGCACTATTCACAATAATAGCAAAGACATGGAATCAACCCAAATGCCCATCAATTATAGACTGGATAAAGAAAATGTGGTATTTATACACCATAGAATACTATGTTGCCATTAGAAAAAAAAACCATGAGATCATGTCCTTTGCAGGGACATGGATGGAGCTGGAAGCCATTAACCTCCACAAACTAACACAGGAACAGAAAACCATGTTCTTACTCATAAGAGAGAGCTGAACGATGAACACATGGACACAGGGAGGAGAATAACACATATTGGGGCCTGTCAGTGGGGCAGGTGGGTAGAAGGAGAGCATCAAGAAAAATAGTTAATGCAGGCTGGGCTTAATACCTAGGTGATGGGTTGATAGGTGCAGCAAACCACCATGGCACATGTTTACCTATGTAGCAAACTTACGCATCCTGCACATGTTCCCCAGAACTTAAAATAAAATAAAATGTATGGGAGACTTTAACATAACCGCTTGTAGTTGATTAATCAAGTAGTTGCATACATGCATATGTGTGTGTTTGTGCATGTGTGTGTTTGTGTGTGTGTGTAGAAAGAGACAAAGAATAAAAAGGATCTCTATAACTAAAGGTCCAAGCCACTGGCCTCTAAACCAAGAAATGTATTTAACAGCATTAAAAGTGGCAACACCAGCAGCAGAGAGGTCAAGATAAAAAACACACAGGAACAGCAGAAGTGACAGCAGCAATGAAAGAGGGATTTCACTGTGTCCCACAGAAGACACCTGCTATGTTTGCAGTCCTACTGAGACAAATGTTACTGAAATGCTTTGGTCTTCCATTTTTCTATCCAGGTTGGTGGCTACCATGTTTATTTATATACCACCACTCTGTAACTAAAGCTAAACGTGATTCTTTACTTCTCTCCCTTCTACCCAACACCAATGTCAATGTCAGTGTGGCCTTTGAAAATGAGATCTGCAACTACAATAAAACTTTGTTCAATGCAACTACCATGCTGCTTATTACGACCTTGTATTACGACCTTGTGATACTGTGAAATATATATGTGGTTTCCTCCTCTGTTTCCTGGCACACAATAACTAAAAGTTTTGGAATCTCTTAAGTGATAAGTGCCTTTGTGAATGCCAGTGAGAAGACTGGTGGCTTTGGGCTCCTGGATAGCCTCAGGATGGGGTCTGGTTGCCACGGGAACCAACCAAGAGACTAGAGGGTTGGGACTTTCAGCCCTACCCCCACCTCTGCGGAGGGAAGAGAGGCTAAAGATTGAATTGATGATTATTGGTCAATGATTTAATTAGTCATACCTATGTAATGAAACCTCTGTAACAACAACAACAACAACAAACTGGATCTAAGGAGATTCTAGATAGCTGAACATGTAGAAATTGCTGAAGGTAGCACACCCAGAGAGGTGCTACTGCTACCCAGTCTGACAGCTACTAGCCTTTGTAGCTTTTGAGCTCTTGAAATGTGGATAGAATAAACTAAGATGTAACATAAGTATAAAAGACACCCTGAATTTTCAAGACTTAGTGCAAATAATTAAAATGATCTCACTATTTTGTGTATATTAGATTAAATAAAATATATTGTTAATATAAATCATACATGTTTATTTCTGCTTTTCTAATGTGACTACTAGAAAATTTTAAATTATATGTGTGGCTTGCATTATATTTCCATCAGATGTGCTAATAAACAGTTTTGACTCTCTTGTGAATATAATACCACTTGAGAAATTCTAAGCTATATTAGGAATAATCAACTTGCAATGAATTAAAGTGCACCAAAATACGTCATATCTGAAACATCCACTGAACCAAAAGCTGTGTATTCTGTGATTATTTTTAAGGCACATTAAAATGTTTTTGTGACTTGGCATAATTCCAATAAATATTTGTTTATACTGGTGGTGGGAGAGAGAACAGGTGAATTGCATGGCATATGGAGTACGCTACTCACAGTTCTTGGTTGCAAGTAACAGAATCCACTCCGGATCTTTTAAGCTGAATATTAAAGATATTAGTTAGCTCACAGAATCACAAGAACACCTGGAGCAACAGACCCAAGGCTACATTTTCAAGAACATTGTTCCAAAACCAAAAGAGGGGTACATCTACAAGCAAAATTGAAGTTTGTTGCTGAGCCTGTTCCCCTTGTTCATTTCCAAAGCAAAGCTCCCTGAGAGAATGTCTGCTAGGAGGAGCTTAAATAGATGTCAGCATCCTAGCAGCCAAGAGGCTGATTCTGAGTTCTGAATTATATATTGGAGATTTGGGACTCACAATATGGGAATTTTGCTCCAAATTGGAAGGGCATTCAAAAGATGATAATCAGTCCTGGCATGGTGGCTCATGCCTGTAATGCTAGCACTTTGGGAGGCCAAGGCAGGCAGATCACCTGAGGTAAGGAGTTTAAGACCAGACTGGCCAACATGGTGAAACCCTGTCTCTACGAAAAATACAAAAAAATTAGCCAGGCATCGTGGCACACCCTTGTAATCCCAGCTACTCGGGAGGCTGAGGCACAAGAATTGCCTGAACCTGGGAGACGGAGGTTGCAGTGAGCTGAGATCGTGCCACTGTGCTCCAGTTTGGGTGACAGAGCGAGACTGTCTCAAAAATAAATAAATAAATAAAATAAGAAAAAAAAGATGATGATCAGGCACAAATATGAAAATTACCTACTACATGGAATTAACTTTTCTGAAGGACAAATCTCTTTTGAATATTTGTCATTTTCCTCTGTCATATGAAATGAAATCTAAAACACTATTCATAGGAAAGCAAACTGGTACAACCCTAAGGCACACACACACTCCAAAAACCCCATATTCTGAATGAATCTATTTATATAAAGTACAGGAAAAGGCCAAACTAATCTACAGTAAGAAATACTAGAAGAGTGACTGTATATGCCAGGTGAGGACTGACTGGAAGGGGTAATAAAGGCACGTTCTAGATGATGGAATCATTTCATATTCTGATTGAGGTCACGGTTAATTCTATGTATGCATTTATAGAACTCACAAGATTGTACAGTCTGTGCATTTCAATGTATGCAAATTTTACTTCAATGAAAAAAATGTTTAAATATAGAAAGAACAGCTTTATAAGCTTTAGCTTAGTTTTCCAGTTACCATGACTGTAGATGCAGAACTTTCCTAAAGATATTAGACCTACAGCTCAGGCCTCCAAAATTCCTAGTACTAGGAGGCACATGAGGTAAACCAACAGGCAGGAGAAAAGAAGGGGAATAGGAATTGATAGTAAAAAGACTTGAGGACTCATGGGTGTAGACTCAGCAGTTGTAACAACATCATAATCAAGCCAGAGCCATGAGAACTCATAAATACATTCACATTCAAGCCTCCAGAGACATCCTTTTGCTATTTATCTGCCTAGAATGTTTTCTTACTACTCTTTTCGTTGATCCAAATCCACGGTGGTCATTTGCGGTTCCGTCGTCAAGGAGCAAAACCCCTGAGAAGATATTTTAAAACTCAGGGGCAGCAGAAAGCTCCTCAGCACCCTATGTGCTTTTTTTAAAATTTAAATTTAAATTTGCTGGTGGGGCTTATGGTGGGATCACAGTACTTTTTGTGATGCTGGTCTGGAATAGAACAGTTATCAACGAACTTTTTTTTGTCTTGCTAAGCTGCTTCTTTCCTGGTTCTTTGCTCAGAAATCAGGCTTTGGTTGGGGCTTTTTTTTTCTTTTTTTCCTGCACCTGTTGGCATTTCTGGGTTTCCAGTTTCTCCAACTCCAAGTCTGGGATATATGAGACAGAAAAAGAACTCACTTAAACTTAACTCACCCTGCAAGCATGTAGGTCATGAGTACCCTGACCTGTCTGCCTTCTCTACACCGTTCCAAGCCTTCTTATGTTTGCTTCAATTTAAAGGCCAGGGTGTTTAGCTGTGCTTATCAAGAGAACTAGGGAAAAATGACTCCACCTTTTCAGAAGCAAAAGTCTCCCTGGTGTGCATTTTATCACACCCTTTCTCACTCTGTATTGTGGTTGTTTACTTATCTGTATCTCCCACATCATGTGGTTGCCATAAGAGTGCTGTAGGACAAACCCCTCAAACTCAGAGATTTAAAAATTCCTGCTTTTATCTAGCCCATGAATCCATGGATTGGTGATTTAGACTTGACACTTCTTCTGAGCTCTGCTGGGCTCATTCACATATCTGAGAGTGGATCAGCTGTCAGCTAGAGTCACTTGGCTTTGTTCCATATGCTTTTCATATCCCTCCAGGAGGCTAATCCTGATGTATTCTCACAATTGAAGGCAAAGGTGTAAAAATAGAAACAAAAGAGCGAAGATGGTTTTTCATGCCTCAGGTGACTCCCATCTGCTAAAATGTCATTGGTCATAGCAAGTCATATAGCTACATGCAGAATCAAGATGCATAGAGACAGACTATCATTTTAGTGAGAGGAACTCAAAATCTCATAGCAAAGCAAACATAAACAGATAAGGTGAAAAATTGGAGCCATTCATACAATCAGTCTACCACGTTGCTCAAAACGTCAAAAGGTAAGCTCCTTAAGAGCAAGGTGAGGTATTCTGTTTTTGTTTTGTTTTGTTTTGTTTTTTGAGATGGAGTCTCGCTTTTTCATCCAGGCTGGAATGCAGTAGTGCAATCTCAGCTCACCGCAATCTCCACCTCCTGGGTTCAAGTTATTCCTCCACTTTGGCCTCCAGATTTGCTGGGATTACAAGCACGTGCCACCACGCCCATCTAATTTTTCTACTTTTAGTAGAGACGGGGTTTCACCATGTTTGCCAGGCCAGTCTCAAACTCCTGGCCTCAAGTGATCTGCCCACCTTGGCCTCCCAAAGTGCTGGGATTACAGGCATGAGCCACCACGCCCGGTGTATTCTGTCTTATTCATTCTTACATGCCCAGTACCTAAAGTGCTAAAAGGCTCAGTGTAGCTCTCAATAAATGTTAACTTGAATGAATGAATGAATGAATGAATGAATGAATGAACAACAACATTTAAATTTACTTGCCAATCATTTGAAGATAGGAAGAAAGATTCCCTGGTTTCTAGAGTTTGTTTCTCTGTAAATTTGGTTCTCTGCTGTCTAGAGAAACACCGGTAATACACATTTTAGCAGGATCTTTTCTACTCAGGAGACTGGCAACATTTTTTCCCAGGAATTTTAACTATCCACTGCAACAACCTTCCTTGCCTTGCGTACAACTCTCCATCTAAAAGGTCTTGTCTGTACCAGAAATGAACATGAGATCTGTCTAGAAATTTCAAAGCAGGCAGCATCATTCCTAACCTCAAAAGACCTGTCTTATGACATATTAATCTGATAGCTGCCTGGAATGGAACAAAGTCTTTCTACATTCATTGAGACTTGTCTATCTTGGTTTGCAGATGGGCCTCAGCTTCTAACTCAGATGTTTCCCCGTTTATCTAATGTTCTCTTCTCTTAAGCTGGTCTCTTCCACCTTGTTCACAGCATGAAAGGCACTACTATCTAATAATGATTCTCATACCTCTGGTGGCATCCTCTTGTCAAAGTTCATCATAAGAGCATATACTTAGGCAATTCCTAGATATGTCCATGGGTCTTTAACTAAAATGATCCTATATGCATAAACCAGCTTTTGTAACATATTTACATAGAAAATTCTAAAATTATAGCACTCATTTCTCTTAAAGTTGTGCAGGCTAAAAATAAAATTTAAGATAATCGTAGACATTTCCAATTATTTATACATAATACTGTTTTATAAAGAAAACTATCTCCTGACCTTGTGATCTGCACGCCTCGGCCTCCCAAAGCGCTGGGATTACAGGCGTGAGCCACCACACTTGGTCATCCTGGATAACACGGTGAAACCCTGTCTCTACTAAAAATACAAAAGATTAGCTGGGTGTGGTGACAGGCACCTGTAATCCCAGCTACTCAGGAGGCTGAGGCAGGAGAATGGCATGAACCTGGGAGGCAGAGGTTGCAGTGAGCCGAGATCACCCCACCGCACTCAAGCCTGGGCGACAGAGAAAGACTCCATCTTAAAAATAATAATAATAATAATAATAATAATAATAATAATAATAATAATGAAAACTATAACACATGATTTTTCCCTGCACTCTTGAAGTCAATGCCGCCTTGCCGTGCTGCAAAATATCTCTCAATGACTATGACAAAAATGATTTACAATCACTCTTGAAACCTCTCATTTCCTTTCCAAATGTCATGGTATGTGGTAAAAGATACACAGCAGATTGTGTCAGAGGCAATTTGAAAAAATTACATACTGGTAAAAATAAAAACCAACTGCTGCAAAAAGAAGTGGTCTTTGTTTAAATTTCGAGAAATACCTAGAATGCAGCTGGTCACTATAAAGCTGTTTCTGAAAAGAACCTCACCCCACTGGAGAGTAAAGATTAACTTATTCAGTTTGGAAAGAAAATAAAGTTGCTGGATTTTATAACGCAGAAGAAAGGTGATGTGTTTTCTGCCTTTTTTCCTGTAAAGAGAACAATATAATGGTAGAAAATAAAGAGAATATGAGAAAAACTTTTCTTATTTCCTCCTTCCACTTTTACATCTCTGATCTTAATTATTTCTAGCCCACTACCTACCTGTTTTACATAATCAGAGTGATTCTTAAAAATGCCTGAATTGAAAGCAAAACCTGAAGTGGTTACAAGGATCCAGTTAGGGAATCCATAATTATTAGGAAATAAAAATCATCTATTATGCATCAATGATTTGCAGGGATTTTTGTTCATTGACTTACAAGAAAATATTTAATGAATAGCTATTATAAGTAAGATATACTGATATGGCAAGGAGATATAAGGATAAATGAGGGAACAAGGAGATTAGAACTACTAGAGAAAAATGAAACAAACAGAGGAAAATTGATAGATTAGATATAGATAGATAGGATAGATAAAAGATAAATAAAGATGGGGGAGAAAAAGTATAAAATACAAGAGAAAAGAGAAGAAGATTGAAATGATGGAATGCAAGTACTGTGGGAGGTCAAAAGAGAAATTTTCTATGTCCATAGGAAAGTTGCCAAGTTGTGGGTTAGAATCCAGAAGAAGTAAGAAAAAAATAGTGTGGATATGTAGCAATGAAAAGTGCTCTTTTAGAGAGACAAAATGGAGCTCGAAGGAGGAGAAAAAGCAGAGAAAGCTACAAAGTAGGAAAGCGTGAAAATATTTAGAAAAAAGGAAGTGGTTCTGTTTGGCGGGAGCACAGAGAGTATGAGGAAATTGCCAGAAACAAGATTCACAATGTAGTTCAAGGGAACTTACATTCCAGGGGTGAAACATTACATACACAAACTGTCAGAAACAAAAATTAAAAACATTATTTCTCTTGCCTACTAAATTTTTAGTATAACTAATTATGAACTTTCTATATAAACTAGGATCATGAAAACAGTCACCAAATAAACACCAAGGTATTTTTAAAATAAAATATATTCTTGCCTTTGGGAGGCCGAGGAGGGCAGATCACTTGAGGTCAGGAGTTCGAGACCAGCCTGGCCAACATGGAGAAACCCCATCTCTACTAAAAATACAAAAATTAGCCAGGCATGGTGGCAGATGCCTGTAATCCCAGCTACTCAGGAGGCTGAGGCAGGAGAATCCCTGGAACCCAGGAGGCGGAGGCTGCAGGGAGCCGAGATCGTGCACTGCACTCCAGCCTGGGTGATAGAGTAAGACTCTGTTTCAAAAAAAAAAAAAAAATATATATATATATATACATATACACACACACACACACACACATACACACAGACACACACACACACACACACACACACACACACACACACACACACACATATTCTTGCTTTATTCCCAATACTTTCTTGTTTATAATGCCAAAAAGCTACATGAGGTTTTCCTCTGGATATTTAGATGATAAATGAAATAATTTTCCAATCCTACCAAAAGATACATATCCCAAGTCAGAGCAAATAGCAAAGGCTAAATAGAAAAATAAACATGCACAGCAAAGAGAGACAGGAAGAGAAATCAGTGTTGATCTCAAAGTCAAGAAGCTATCTGAAGAATTTCTGGTTCTTGCTGTATTTTGGCCTCTATTGAAAATTGGAAGAAATAATCCTGTAGGATCCAAAGCTGTGTAGATAGATTTGTATTGCAACTTCATTTGTTTTACCAGCAAAACCAGAGCAAAGAGACCATAAACCTTTCCATGTAACCCAGATCTTTGGAAGGGTGTATAAATGGAACTATAAAATCTGTACTGAAAACTGATTCTTGGCAGCCAGTCAAGATCTCTCCATTTCTGAAATTAAATGGCATGGCTTCTCCAAGAATGGGAGATCAGGGGACAATCAAAATCCTGCTGCATTATTCCTGCAACTATAAGCCAGATGGTTTTAAAAGTCAAATGTTCCACACATGAGTAAGTCATGGCTCTAAATGAATTACTTTGGGATCTGCAAAATAGAACCTGAAGTGCCACACCACTGAGATATGTTCCATTGCACCATCAATCTTAGAGTAAAATACTTACCAGCTCATTCAACCTTTTAACTAAAGAAAAATCATGCTGACAAAAGCCCCAAAGAGCATGTTTAGGAAATAATGTAGTCTTTAGCATGCACAGGGAATACAGAATCCCAAAGCATGTGGAAAAAATCTTTTCATTCAGGGAGGTGGGGACCAATAGACCCGTAACAGGTGTGCGTAAAAGAAATTGCTCCTAATAAAGTGAATGCTATAGAAGCAACATGGGTTTAATAAAGTACAGATTCTACAGCTAAAGTCTATTTAGTGAAAATAACAGGACTAAAAGACCTCAGCCATTCTGCACATCTGATTAAAACATTCTGGCTATTACCACTGCCCTCCTGGTGGTCCCTGTGCCTGCTGCATCACTTTCATACCTGCGAGTGCAGGTGCCCCTGGGCTACCAAAGCCCCCAGCTTCTTGGGCAACAAAGAGCAATGGCCTTTTCTTCTGTGTGACTTTTAGAGCTGTGTCATAGCTGCAAGTGGTGAAGGACAGAGTTACAGCTGTTAGTATTCCATCTGTAAAATAAATACACACGCATACACGTACACACGCATACACGTGCACATGCAAACACACACACACAGAGACAGAGGACTGTTTTCTGTAAGAAGCAGTCTGGGAGCCATCATCTAAACCCTGTGCTCAGAGACCAGCTCTCCTTGTATTCTACCAGATAGGACACTGCCCTTCTCCAGTGGAAGACAGGAGTCCCAGCTCTTCAGAGCTTGCTCTAGGACAAGATTTCTTCCTTGGTGGTTCTAAAGGATTTGCTATCTAGAGTATGGCTGCCACAGTTACTACCATTATTTCCAGGGAAGTTGTGGTCATGCTTTTCTTTTTCCTCAGGAAAGAAAGAGCAAGTTCCCACCACAAAGCCAGCTCCAGGGTCTCTGCCTAAGAGCCAGGGGTAATGAGAAGTGGAAGAATCCCTGCGCCTCTTCCAACCTCAAGGCCTGCCTCGTGGCTCATCCCACGTTTAGGATGATTGCCCGTGGGAATACACAGCTCTTTCTGGAAAAGCCCATCACCACCTACAAGGGTAGAGCCGTGCCTTCATGGCTTCAAAACTCAATCCCAAGGTAAGACTTAGGAACATGTTGAGAGCTACTTACTTATTGTATCTTATTTAGGATCAATTGTTTAGACTCCATTAACTACAATTTGCCAGACATCTTCCTGAAAGCATGTGAACCAGCTTTCATATCATCCATTATAACATCCAACATAACAAAGGCCTGTCTACTGTCTATTATGAACCAGGCCATCTATGAGGGATGGGGAAGAGAGTTGTATAAGAAGTAACCCTGCTTTCAAAGCTCACATAATTTGGTAGGGAAAATGAGACCCGTGCAAGAAAAAGACTTGTGAAATTAAGGGAGTACAGTGTGATAAGAAGTAAAGGAAAATGTAGGCAAAAAGCTCACCTTGCAAAGAAGGAAAATTGACTCCTGAGTATCTCATACAAAGGCCTTTGAAAGTTAATAGTATCCAGGGAGTGCCTGTGTTGCATTTTGGGGTTTTGATAGATCAGAAAGAAACCAAAAAACATTTCTTTCTTTTTTTTTTTTTCTTTTTTCTCCTTGGGGGTAGGATTAGGTAATGAGAGGATGTTTAGGAAGGAAGCTCTGAAAATCCTTCATAAAAATGCCTTCAGCAGTTCACTGTGTACCCACTGATGCCTCTTCTTTAACCAAATTTGATTTTAATATGCAAAGGGAATGCAGGTTAATTACACAGTGGAGTTCATGGAAATGGCAGATTGAGAATTATACTTTGACTTGCTGTTAGTGTAAATTCCATCCGATCATTATTGAAAGAGAACAAATAGAGAATTCTCTCAGGAGGTTTTAAAGGTCTTTCTTCCTCCATTTCCCCAGATCTCCCCTTCATCCTGTTCTTTCTCCTAACACTAAATAACATGCTTGGAAAGTGATAGGAGACTTTGCACAATCATTCCACTTCTAATATTTGAACATCCACAATAGAAATCCTTCGTTTTCCATTCACCTTGACTTTTTTGACCTTAACATAGCAAAGCATAGAACAAATTAAGAACTAGGAAGCTCCATGATTGTGAGAGTAATTTTCCCATCTCCTCCATGGAGCCGCATGCTAAAAGGGACTCTTGTTGATTTGATTATTTCTGTGTATGGAACAGTAACAGTGCTTGGGGATTGTTTTACTAAATGAAGCTGTGGACTATTTCTGTACCCTGTGGTTTGCCTTAATTGCCTGTAGAATATCATGCCTCCTCAACTAAAATGGAAGCTTCTCAAAGGCTCAAGAACTTGCATTTATTCTTTGTTCTTCTCAACATATGTAACACTGGGCAAAATTTTGGTAGACATTCATTAAACATTTAATGGACTTATTGGTTGAAATGCATTATAAAAAGTTTCTTTTTAAAAAATAACAGTTTGGAAGTTTGCTTTTATCATCCTTTTAAAGGTATTTTACACAACGGATGCAATATTTCTTAGTAGATCACAGCATTTGCCTACAATTTTTAAAGCCACATTCTGATTTTTCAGCACCTACCTTTTTCTCTCTCCTTTTAATATTTAATGATTTATAAACTAATACAATTTCATGTTGAGAAAAAAATTCAGAATCTGTGTCTGTTGATATTGTCTTAAGACAAATAATGCTTTTAGAATATGAATAGCCACTATCACGCTGGATTTATTTCTTTGTTTCTTAAGATTTATAAAGAACATATTCTTAAAGAGTGTAAGCTAAAAGGCAACTAGTTGATTCTACAAAGGTGAGAAAATTGACATGCATGTAAGAAGCGTCACTGATATAAGCTATGAGCTTTGGGATCACTGCTTGAATTCATGGCATCTATCAAAATATCTTTACTCCTTTCCACTTTGTAGAATCATGAGTCCTAAGGGTAAATAATATACAAAAATAAAATAAAATCAGAAGCTTCAAACACTTAATATCTTCAAACTAATAGTGCCTATAGTGTCACAACCAGAGAATACAAGGGCAGCCAGCAGGTGGTGGAAATATCAGGAAACAAAAGAAGGTCAGTGTAAAACAGCTGGCTAGAGTTCTGTGGAAAGAGAATAGTTGCCAAGAGCAAGAGCAATTAAGTCTATCATTTTTCCTACCTAGAGACCACAAACAGAAATGCCCGTTATTCCAGAAGCAACTTGGAAAATAGAAGGTTGGTGAAGAAAGAGGGATGTCATTAAAAAGTTTTAAAAGCCCTTAATATTCTTCTTAGGAAAACTTCTCACACTTCAAGAAAGCTTCAAGAGTAGATCCAGCCTGGGCCACGGGTATCTAAGATTACTCAGATCCAGCTGGTTCCTCTTTGACACTTTATGGCAAACTGAAGTCTATCTTCCAAAAAAACACTGAAGCATTGACCTTAGATATTTAATTGCCTATTGAGATGACAACTCAATGAACTTGTCTAGTTTGGAAAATACAAAGAAACAGTCATTTAGGTAACCATATATGAGCCAGAATTTTGTAGAATCTAATCTTATATATGGCCCTAACTCTGTCCATTAATGAGATGTTGGGTTACATTAGTTCACTTTATTTTAAAAAATGGAAAACATATTAATACTCTCAATAGTCTCATCTCTATGCAAGCAGGTGTCTCCTTGCATATAAAAAGCATTAGACCATAGATTTGATGGCACTTTGACTTTTAAAAAAATGACTTCCTATGTTTAAAAAAAAAAAAACAAGGAGAGACATTCTTGATCAGGTCTCTGTTGCCAAATCCTAAAGATTCTAGGCCCTATAAAATGAGACATTAAAATCATTAGGCACCGTAATAAGGCCATTCTGGGTAAAGTCATTTCTATTCATCTCCATTACTTTGAGAGTAATCTGTCAAAGACAAACTAACTGCCAGAGGAAACTTACCAAAAAATATTTGTTCCCAAAAGCTGTGATGGATTTATTTTACCTTTAGTCTCCACTTGCCGAAACCATAAATCGCAGAATATCTCCATCAAAGCTCATGCCAAATTACAAGTCTCTCCTCTGGCTGTCATTTGTGAGATGGCCCCTCTTCAGGTTCATATTAGCTATGTGCAAAGACAGCCTAGGCAATGAAAAGTCAAGAGATAAATAATTTCTGGGATTTCCTGAGTTGATTGTTTTGATCCCAGCCCTGCTCTTCATTGGAATTGCTAAGTCCCTCTTCCTACAACAGAACTATCAGCACCAATGTGCATGGGGGCAACTTATCTGCTCTGGATGTTAGCACGAGTTAATACGAAGACTCAAGGCTGAGACCTACAAAACTTAGGTTCAAGTTAAGCTGTTTTTTGTTTGTTTTGTTTGTTTTTATCAAATAGGAGTATGACTTTGAGTTTATCACCTCACATCCTAGGTGGATGATCTGATCTGAGTAATTTTTCTTTGAACATGCTCTTGAGATAACATAAATATAATCCCATTGTTGGGAGAGATTTCAGAGCCCAATTCCAACCCACTTGTGCTTGAAACTTCTCTAAAGCAACCTGAAAAAGAATGTTCTTGGAGCTGATGCCTGAAAGCCTCCGTGCCGGAGAACTCGCCCACCACCCACCACCATCACCAAAAAACCAGCCCTGTTGCCCTGTTTGTTTGGTTTGATTTAGTCGTAAGGGAGCTTTGTAAAGAGTGAAGAGCAAGATACTAGAATGTACACAAGCTTCAGTGTTAGGGAAACTTGATTTTATTTCTATCCTACAACTATTTGTCTTCGCTTTTGTTTGCAAAATAGAAGGCTATTATAACCTTGTATCTTACAAGTTTGGTAATAATTACAAATGGGCTAAGCATTCAGTAAAAACATCATTTTTCTCCTATTTGCTCTAACTGAATACAGGATAACTTTGAGCGAACAGGGCAGTCGTATGCTTGCAATAGCTAATTTACAGTAACTCTAGAGTTTTTGAAGTTTGCCCTGGGCATTAAAGATGCTGACCATGGCCTATGAGAAATATCAAAGCATGAGACAAGGCCATTCAATAAAAAGAGGTCAGAAATTTCTCAACTGCTGCAAAATTTTTTAGCAATAAATTCATTTCTGGTAAGTCTTCTACATCACCCACTCCTACCCTTACATACAAATGTGAATTATTACCCAATTTTTGTATCAGTAAAAGAATTTGATGATATCCTGAAATGATACTGTGGGTTTTGGAGCTTAAAAATCTTGGAGAAAATTTATCTCAGAGTCAAATGTGGCCTGGTGATTACCTGATTCCCAGGTAGGCCTGTAAAGTCTCATCTGAGATCCTGCTGTCAAATGCTGTCCTCATTATATGAGACCAGCCATAGACACAAAAGGGTATCAGTTATCTTAACTCCAACTCTTAGAAAGTGTTTTTAAGTTTTTGATCAAATGGATCTATTCATATGGTTTGAAAAATTAAATCAAATAGATTAAAATTAAAAATAAACTTCTCTGCCCCATGCCTAACAGTCTCTAGTTTTTCTTACAGGGTAACTGTGTTAGGCTGTTTTTGCATTGCTACAAAAAAAATCTGAGGCTGGATAATTTATAAAGAAAAGAGGTTTAATTGACTCCCGGTTCTGCAGGCTATACAAAAAGTGTAGTGCCAGCATCTTCTTAGCTTCTGGTGAGGCCTCAGGGAGCTTTTACCCATGGCAGAAGGTGAAGCAGGAGCAGGCACGTCACACAGTGAGAGTGGGAGCAAAAGAGAGAAGGGAGTCAGGAGGCACCATTCTCTTTTAAACAACCACATCTCATGTGAACATATTACCATTCATTACCATGGGTAGAACACCAAACCATTCATGAGGGATCTGCCCTCATGATCCGAACACCTCCCACCAGGCCTCATCACCAATGCTGGGGATTACATTTCAACATGCGATTTGGAAGGGACAAATATCCAAACTGTATCAATAACACTATTTAACTCTTAAAACTATTTCTTAGCAGGGCGTGGTGACTCACGCCTGTATTCCCAGCACTTTGGGAGGCCAAGGAGGGCGGATCACTTGAGGTCAGGAGTTCAAGACCAGCCTGGCCAACATGGTGAAACCCCGTTTCTACTAAAAATATAAAAATTAGCTGGGCTTGGTGGTGCATGCCTGTATTCCCAGCCACTTGGGAGGCTGAGGTGAGAGAATTGCTTGAACCTGGCAGGAGGCTGAGGTTGCAGTGAGCTGAGATCACGCCACTGCACTCCAGCCTGGGCAATAGAGCAAGATTCTGTCCCCCTCCCCCTGCCAACACACAAAAAAACTATTTCTAAACTTACATTTCTGATTATCATCCACCTTTAAATAATCTGCTATTGCACTATATTCCTTGACAAATTTGAAATAGTGTTTACTGACTCGCTATTCTGACAAAAGATTTAACTCTCTTATGTCATCCCAAGCCTTCCCTTCATACTCCTGCCAGTATGATTCTTTGCCTACTTTTTTTCTATTAATTACTTTTGTAACTTTAAATAAATGTTCACCATTATATTTCTTTTTACAGCAACTATAGGAAATATCTCTTGTCTAGTTGAGATAACGGTTATTCTCTAATTTGCTAATGTTTGAAAGATCACCTGATCTTATTTGTAGAGATAATATTTTCTTAAATCTGAATCTTGTAAATTGTCAAGGTTGATAATACTTGCATTCCTTTCCAAGGCCATACCTGTCTTCTGTGCTTTATCTACGGTTTATTATGAAATCAGGAAGTGAATCATGTTTTGTTTGTTATTCCTCTTCCGAGTACTATTTGCTGCAGAACCAAGTCATTGCTTAGGATTGATTTCGCTGGTCTTGTAGAGCTTTTTGGATTTTTCTGGAGTTTCTAGTTGTCTTATTTCTTCCTATTGTCTTTAATACATTTTTAAGCAGCTTGACCTTCCCAGAGATCATACGAAATCTATGAAACACCATTTTTTGCTAAATGCCTCCCTGTTGGAGCCTCTGTTTTCTTTCTTCTGTCTGGACTGCTGCTTCCAGGCCTGCTGCAAAGCGGCATCCTGGTACTCCTGCTTCTCTCGGTCACCCTGGATCCACCTTTCTTTGGCTCCCATGTCTTCCACACTCTTAGCCTCCTCATTTTGCTGAAGAAAATCCTCCAGTAACATCCTAAGAAAGTTTGAGAAGTAACTTCTTAGTTTCTGTAAATGTCTCTATTTTTTATTATCTACTCATCCAGATTGAGTGTTTGGCTTGGTATTTTTTTTAACAATCCTGGAAAATAATTTTCCCTCAGATCTTTGAAATCACTTCTCCATTTCCTTTCAGCATCTAGTATTGTGGATGTGAACGTAATACTTGCCTGAGTCTCATTTCTTTGTATGTGACCCGGCTTTGCTTTCTGGGAGCTTTGAGAATCTCTCATTGACTATGGTATTCTAAAGGTTCACAGCAATTTGTCTGGGCGCAGGCCTTTCTGCAGTTACTTATGTGCTTCCCTCCTCACTGAATCCTTTCCATCTCTAGGCAGTACACTTTGGCTCTTAAGGGTTCTCTTTTAGTATTTTTCTACAATGTCCTTCTGTCTATTTTCTCTGAACCTTCTCTTAGTCAAACGTTTACTTCCAGTTTCAGTCCTCCATGTCCCTCATCTTTTCATTTATCTTTCTCTCTACTTCTCTTTTTCTGTAGCTATTAAAAGTTTCCTCAACATTACAAGCAACCGTATCACTGAATTATAGATTCCTGATAATTTCCAAACACTAATTCTTATTCTCTAACTTACTAATGTTTCAAGGATCATCTGATCTTATTTGCAGAGTTAATATTTTCCTAAATCTTTCTGAGGACAATCAGCTATTTTAAAATTTTTTTCTACATCCTGAGTTACTTTTTGTTAAGGTCATTTTCCTATGAGTTTTGCTTTTTTTTTTCCTGGAATATTGCAAACGTGCCTCACACTGATTGGTTAATTCTGTGTGTGCAGATAAAAAATCCATCACGAGGCTTCACTTTAGAGTCATTTGGCAGGTAACTGGGGGGTTCCTAAGTGCCAGGATGCACAAGACTTCATGAAGCGACGCCACAATCAGATCGGCTTCCTTGATTGTTGCACGATAGTTTATTCAATTTCTTCCAGTGAATCCTTTCTTTTTCTAGTTTTCAGTTTGGCCTAGGGAAGGCATAATACTTGAACGTCTAATATGCTGCACATGGAATAGGGTAGCAGTGATGGGAAACGGAGTGAAGGAAATTGGGCTCTAAACTAGATGGTGCTGATGAGGTCAACTGAAAAGGGAGAGCTCTCCTTCACAGAACTGTAGAGTAGTGATTCTTGAAGTGAGGTTCCCACATCAGCAGCATCATCGTCACCTGGGTACCTGCTAGAAATGCTGACTCACAGGTCCTATCCCAGTTCTACTGAATCAGCAACTCTGGGAATGAGCCCCAGTAACCTGTGTTTTACTATGCCATTCAGAGGATTTTGATGTAGAGTAAAAGTGGAGACTCAGGCATGCTTGTAATCTTCACGAAGTTACTGATCTCTCTTTTCCACTAATGGTCTACCACCCCAACCCTATGTTAGAGATGATGCTTTGTTTTGGTTTTCCTTGATTGTTTAATTCTTTATTATCATTTTAATAACTTTTGGAGAAAGAAAAATATAAACATGTGATCAGACTGCCTTGTTGAGCCAAAGTCATACTCATATTTCAATGCATCAATATGTCCCTAGCACCAACATATCTTTTTTTCCAGACCTTACATCCATATGTGTCCATAACTCTTATGCAAATTTTTAAAAGTAAAATTTTTGAAAATTTGATTCTAGTTGTAAAAATTTTAGATATCTGACAGTATAGAAAAGGAGGTGTTTGGGGAAGTGAAGCCATTTTAAGTAAGTCAAAAATAAAATAGGTGGGTTGGCTGTTTACCAAGCCCAGTTTCTTCTCTTTTGGGACACCCAGAAAGTCTACCTTGGTTACTAGTTCTCAATGATGGGCTGTGAGTGGAAATAACGTATGTAATCTTTAGGCCAATGTGGTTAAGAAGTAGATGCACCTTCTTTACCCTTTCCGCCATCAGCCAGCTTAATGCATAGTCCTCTGAAGCCCTGGAGAAGAGGCAAAGACATAGATGAAAGGAAACTGGGTCCTTGAATGACTGACCTCAAGGAAGGGCATAGATCACAAATGATTTCATTGGACTACTCTGTGCTAAGCCACTGAAATCTTAGACTTCACATTACATCAAGTTGCTTTAGCCTAACTAATAAATTGATAAAAGAAGGTCCTTCTTGAGTCTATAAACATGTTTGGGAGAAATTAACTTGCACTGAGGTATAGTCTATATGGACTTCTGTGTTGTGAAAGCCTCAGATCCATATAGAATTTCACCACAGCAATGCATTAAAGCATTTGTAGCTGACATATTGCTTAAAATTTGGTCTTATAAATCTACAAATAAGTTGTTACATCTGTAATTTAATAAATAAAACCTAACACTTAATTATAATGAATTGAATGAGATTGTCAATAGAAAAGTGCTTTCCAAAAATAAAAATACCATTCAAGTGCCACATAATAATTAACTTTTCTTAGAAGCAAAGGTGAATTCTTGACAATTAAAAATTTTTCTTTGTATCGATTTGTTAATGGAACTTGCAAATTTCAGCTTCTTCCCCAGCAAGTATCTGATTCATGGTTGTTGGAGATTTTAAATTAGCTTCCTCAGCTCAATTTATAAGTTAGTGCCACTGCATTGCTAAAAGATGCTTAATTTTTGTATTACTCAACTTTTAAAACACTAAAAGTTTTAATTAAACATCATCAGTGCTTTTAGCCTTTGGAAACTCTGAGGATATAACTGCAGTATGTCATAAGTCTTCAAACAAGATTGAAAACCCTGCAGGTCAAATGAAGCTTAATCAGGCTTATTCCCATTTTGGTAATTGAACCACTGGCTTCATTCCACCTACATACACTGGCCTCTCAAAAGTGTGAGTTGTTATTCTCTAGCCCTAAGCTTTAATATTAAGATCCTTCCTACATAGAGCTAGACAGAAAGATAATTTGAGAGCACTTCAGTTCTTCCAGAGGTGACATTCAATAGGGCATTTACAAAATATTAGATTTCTACATTTCAGCTAACACACATTAAGCACATATGATATACCCCATTATTATTAATTATAGTATTATATTCAAAACTAATTAACAACAATGGGCAACAAATGACACAACCAAGTTCTTTTAGAATCCAGAGGAGGCAAAGATCACTTCCACTTCCACCTTTCTCAAGACCTTTCTTGGAGAACTGAAATTTCAGCTGGACCTTAAAGCTGAGGGAGGTTGCCACAGGAAAAGAGTAGAACTCTTAACTTTCCTTGTTTGCAGAAAAGTCAGTTCTCAGTCCTAGATTTACAAGACAAGTTTACTATCTTCTGTGCAACAAAACCTAAAATATTCATGCTTCTCATCTGTACCAGGAAGATTTTCAAAGATTCCATAAAAGCCCATCAGTTCAGATTGGGTCCACTTGTAATTATTTTGACAGGAGCTAGACTGGCATTTACTTTAGTGCTGTGTAGAAAGCATATAAAAACGGAGTGAGCAAAGAAATATTGTCAACAGAAACAGAAGGAGGGAAAACCTTACCTTAATTTTCAAAAATGAGAAATACAAGGGCTTTACATTCTATCCACGAAAAGAATACAATAAGTGGACTAGGACAAATTGTCAGTATTACAGAATTTAACCAGTACTACAAGAACCTCCATTTGGCAACCTTGTTAGCTTGGTTGATGTTGCTGCCAATAACTAAAACGACTTAAGATTGCTTATTAGCAAGGTCTGGCCTTCTGTATGTCTGGACCGAATTAGTTGGTCACTAATTATTCCCTACTTGAATTTAAACAATATTTATTGAATGTCTGTTCTGTGCCACCATGCTTGTCATTGAGATGAGATTTAATAGGTGTGGTTCTCCACCTCAAAAACCTTGAACTAAATGGAGAAATTAAAAAGTGACACAAAAATAATACACAGCAATAAGCAACAAATGGCACACAAATGATACAACCAATTCTGTTAGAATGCAGAGGAGGCAAAGATCATTTCCAATTTCAGTTTTCTCAAGATATTTCTTGGAGGAAAGACATGTCAGCTGAACTCAAAGACCAATAGGATTTCAACAGGCAGCAGGAAGCAGGAAGTATTAATATTTCAGAGGAATAAAATATGACCATAGAAATACAAGAAAGCCCAAAGCAGTTTAGGAGACATTGAGGGGTCAATGTGAATTGAATGTCAGATTCATGAGTAGGAGACTGGGGAAGAGGGATAGAAAAGGAACACAAAGTGCTCTACATTTCAAGCAAATCTGGAAAGATCACGAGCAAGAGAAATAGTGTATTCAGAAATATTAGAAAACCTGCCACTAATTAGCTACTTAACTTTTCTAGATTTTAATTTTTTTCATCTATACAATGAAATGAATAGGTTCCCCCTACCTAGGTGTCATAATTGTTATGAAAACTAAAATGTGATAACAAAAGTGAAATTTCCTTGAAAGTTACATATACTATATTGGAAAACAAATTGGTTCCTTGAGTCACAATCTACGATATTGAACATTCACTCAGAGCCATTCTATGTAGCCAGCCTCAGAGGTATCATTCTTCACACTCTACTTCCAGCAATTCATGTGAACCCACTGCTCAGGACCTTTTTTAGCATCACAAAGTAGCTCTCGTCATATGTCTTTGCAGCAGACACTGAATCTCTTTCACATAGTTTCTTTCTGAAAATTGTTCAGAAATTTGTTCATCTCCAGCAATTAGTTGTAAAACCGCATTTCCAGGTTTATCTAGTCACTGAGATCACATGGAAAGCTGGATGATATCATGGGCAAAGAACAGCCTTCAGAATTAGGGAGAATGATTTATGACCTCTGATTCACCCGCACATACTAGCTATGTGTCATTGAACAACTTCCTTAACCTGAGGACTTCTGTGTGAAATGGGAAAATATGGTTTTTTACAAGCTGTCAAATCTAACACCTAATAAGTTTTAAATGTTTCATTCCTTCTGTCTTCCCTACTATATAAATTAAAAATTCAGTTCTACTTTATATCTTTAAAGCACTATTATTAATGTTAATTTATAAGCCCTTGACTGCTGCAAATGATGTTCTCAACTGCTGTGTTAGGATGATGATGAAGAAGGAGGAGGAAGAGAAGAGGAGAAAGGGGAAGGGAAGGAGAAGAAGAGAGAGAAAGAGAAGAAGGGTGAGGAGGATACGAAAAGAGCTAACAGCAAAGCACATCACTGAAGTAACTTGGAACTGGACTCCATCCAGAATCTTAATCGTGTGTGTGTGTGTGTGTATTTACTTATTTATATATATATTTATTTCTGTATACACATTTACATTTATATTGTATTATATGTGTGCGTGTGTGTGTGTGTGTGTGTGTGTGTGTGTGTGTGTGTATATATATATATATATACAATAGTTACCTGGCTAAGTTTTTGTATTTTTAGTAGAGACAGGGTTTCACCATGTTGGCCAGGCTAGTCTTGAACTCATGGCCTCAAGTGATCCACTCGCTTTGGTCTCCAAAAAGGCTGGGATTACAGGTATTAGCCACTGTGCTCAGCCTTAATCCTGTATATTTTTATATGATCTCAGGGCTATGTGTTCCTCCTAGTATCCAATCCAAACTAAATTAAATATAAACCTCAAAACTGACAGCTGTTGCTAACATTATTATATCCCATTTTATTTTTATCTCAGTAACCACTCCTAAGCTGGATGAAATGAATGCATCTGAAGTTTAAGCAGGTGTCTATGCTAAATTTTGCACTTAATTTATAAAAAGATTAAGCGTGAATTTCAATGGAGTTCCATGGACTTTTGCCCTTTCTTCATTGTTTTAGAACTGAGGTCAACTTATTCATGAATAATGAGATAATGTCAGAGAAAACACTTTGCCTTTCAGATGATTAAGGTAAATTATCTGGTTCATCCTGAAAAAAATGATATCACTTTGGCAAATATAAAAATTAAAAAGTTTTACATGGTTAAGTACCATCTTGTGTCTTTGTCAATAGCACTAGTTACATTTTTCCACCAACCAAGTTTTAACCAAATATTATGTTATAATTTTTAAATGACATTTTATCACTATATTTATGCATCAAATAATAGTTCATGTTATTATCAAATAATAACTTATTTATTATGTATAATATTTACAGTGAGTACTGACTTCAGCTGTAATCAAAATATAAATTTAACCAGTCTATGGGGGTCTTATTTTACTTTAATGATGAAAACATAGGTTCAAACCCCAGCCTGTTTGATCCAGTATTTGACCAATGTTATTCTCCAATACATTGCTATGTAAGATTGTAAGTGGAGATCCTTTCCTCTTTTAAAATGAAAATGAACTATTGAAGGTCACTGTGATATTTCTGAAGAACTAGGGATTTTATCACTGGGGAGCATTTAAATGTTCCTTAAACCAATCTTGTTACAGCTGGACCCCTCGACCAGAGTCTGTCTCTGAGGTGTTGCTCTATCTTTCAACAGCCTCCTCTTGTTGCACCAGACAACCTTCTTCCAACATCACTGTGTTTTCCAAGGTCATAACTATTGAATCATAAGCAATACCATGTCTTCAATTTACAATGCAGTCACCATTATGCTAAGACAATCCCAGAGCAGTCCCTTTTCTGAACTCACATTCCTCCTAGTGTCTCATCAAACCTTTCAAATCCTTCCTACAAGGACTTCCTTTCTTCCCTTCTTTCTGCATCTCAGCTCTCTATCACCTACACAGAATGGCACTAAGATCATTGTGACCACAACTCCACAAGAACAGGAAAGGAATACAGGTTTGGAGATACAAAACTAAACAGAGGAGAAAATATCCCAGTTATAAGTATAAACTACAAAACTGCAATTAGGTTAAAAGAAATATTTTGTAGCTTCAGAGGAAGACAGTCAACTAGAAGCTCCCACAGAAATAAATACATAATTTTTTAAAATGCCATTTCAACCAAAACAACTAAAGGAAAGATGTGGACAATAGCAAAGAAGCAACACAAATCCTGCAGAGCACAGAAACCCAGGATGGCCACCTAGAGAAGAAGGAAAAACACCTTGCACCCAACACCCCATCTCCCCAGTCAAGATCAGCTTGGAACCAGGAGTGACTCCTTCCGGCAGGGAAAACGTAAGCAAGAGGATGTCAGCAGCCCCAGCCACCACCACAGACACCTGCAGTCTTCGCTACCAGAGACTTGTGCAGTCCTCACGGACTGTGAGCGCAGCTGAAGGAGCTGCCCAGAATCCAGACACTGAATTACTCCCAAAGAAAAAGCCAATGCTGTGCCCACACCCCACCTCACTGGCCTGTGCTGCTACTGTGCTGTACCATCTTAGAACCAGAGCTACTTCTAGAGTGGGTTCTGCTCCAGGATTGAGGATCCATGCATCCTTCCATCCCTGAGGCTTTGTTGCCCCTGCACAATGCTCACCTGGTAGCATGCCATCCCTGGGCTGAGCTTCTGCTATACCTTACCCCATAGGGCCAAGCCACTGCAGAGTTGTTCCATATCCCCCCAGTCCAGTCATTGCTTCCCCCTCTTCTGTACATCTTCTGTACACCAAAGTTAAAGTGGTACCCTATCCCCAGGAACCACAATCCTCCTGCACACTAGAACAGTCTACCCCCAGCACCACAACTGAGGCAGTCCCTCAGGGACCTCAGGCTCCTGCACACCAAAGCAGTTGACTCCCACACACAGGACACAAATGTGGCAGCACCACACCCCCAAGGGCTCTGAGCCTCTGCCACACCCAAGCAGTTGCACCCCTCAGTGCCACAGCTGACATAGTGCCCCAGGTCATACGAGACAGAGATTCTGCCAACCCATGTAGCTGTACATTTTGGGCCACGCAGATGCAGCACCTCATATCACAGGGAATCAGAGCCCAGGCTGAGCTGCACCATCTTCAATCTCCTGGCTGAACAGCCATAGTGCTCTGCCTACCTGGAACTGGACTTCACCCCCCGCACAACAGTCCAAGCTGCTGAGGTGCCCCACCAATGAATAGAGTCACTGTTGCATTGTTCCCCTCTCCCTGCAGCCCGAGCAACAGTGGCATTTTGCCATTCTTGGATCCTTACTATTGCTGCATCTGGCCTCACAGAGCCTGGGCTATGACTGTGCCCCACCATCCCAAGGTCCAGAGTCACTAGTACATGGTACCTCATCCCCTGGAGCCAGAGCTCCCACTGTGTCCTGTTGGTTAGTTCTGAGTTCCAAACTGCAGCTGTGCCCTGTTCCCCAGGACCCAAGCCTCTGAAGTGCCCTTTCTTCTCCTGAGCCATACCAATGCTGCACCTTGTCCCTCAGAGTCAGAATCACAGCTACATTCCAGACCACTGGAATGCTGGAATATGTCCCAGAGCAATAGATCTTAGCTTAGTAGCAGATCTGCATCCACCCATGCCTTGGAAAGTGAACCCTTCACTTCAAACACCAAATGCTATCACAGTTTCAAAAGACCCTGAGCCCAGGAATCCAGCTCCACAGCTGTTCCAAGCATCTGTGTCCTGGATCCCAGTACCATTGTGGCTGCCCATGGGCCACGTCAGACCCAGGACCAAGAGATATCCCCTCAGCTAAGACTCCCCTTCAGCTAAGATTCCCTGTTCTAGGAAAAACAAGAACAGGAAGATCCCTAAAGCTTTTACCCTAATAACCTGTGCAGCACCATCACTGCCACAAACTCCTGCAGACTAGATCACTGAGGTGATTGCACCAGCAGATGCACAGACATTAATACAGGAATGCAAGAAACATGAAAAAACAAGGAAACATAACATCACCAAAGAAACACAATAATTCTCTAGTAACTGATCCCAAAGATAGAAATTAACAAATTGCCTGAAAGGGAATTCAAAATAATGATCTTAAGAAACTCAGTGAGACATAAGAGAATAAAAATGGATAATTCAATAAAATCAGGAAAATCATTCAATATCTGAAGGAAATATTCAATAGGTATTTTAAAAAGAACCAAACAGAAATCTTTGAGCTAAGGAAGTAAGCTAATGAAATTTAAAAATATACACATATATATATATATATATAAGAGCTTCAGCAGCAGACTAGATCAAGTAGAAGAAAGAATCTGTGAACGTGAAGATAGATAGTAATTTTGAAATTATTTAGTCAGAGGGAAAAAAAAGAATAAAAAGAACAAAGACAGACTGTGGGACTTATTGGCTGCCATTAAGTGAACAAATAGTCACTTTATAGGATTTAAAGAAGGCAAAGAGACAGAGAAAGGAACAGAAAGCATATTTAATGAAATAATTGCTGAAAACTTCCCAGAAATTGGGAGAGAGATGGACATGCAGGTTTATGAAGTCCAAATTTTCCCAAATAGATAGAACCCAAAGAGGTCCTCTCCAAGGCATGTTATAATAAAACTGTCAAAAATCAAAGACAAGGTGAGAATTTTTAAAGCTGCTAGAGAAAAATGTCAAGTCACATATATATGAATCCACATTAGGCTATCAGATTTCCCAGCAAAAATCTTGCAGGCCAGGAGAGAATGGAATGATTTATTCAAAGTGCTGAAAGGAAAAAAGCTGCCAGAGAAGAATGTTATACCCAGCAAATCTATCCTTTGGAAATGAAGCAGAAATAGTCTTTCTCAGGCAAGAAAAAGCTGAAGGAATTTATCTTCACTAGTCCCACACTACAAGAAATGCATAAGCAAATTATTCAAGAAGAAATGAAAGGATGATTCAAACTATCATAAATACATCTGAAAGCATAAAACTCACCGGTAGAGGTGAATACATAATCAAACCCAGAATACTCCAATACTACACTGAGGATGTACAAACCATACATATCTCTAGTATGACAACTGAAAGTCAAAATGGTTAAAATAACTAAAGCTATGATAAATGTTAAGGAATACAAAATATAAAAATATGTAAATTGTGTCATCAAAAACAAGTAGTTGTTGGGAGGGTAAAAATCCCAATGCAAGAGAAGTGAAGTTATTATCAGCTTAAAATTGATTATAAATAAAATAAATTTTATGTAAGCTTCATGGTAACCACAAAACAAAACAAAAACCACAGAAGATATACAAATAATAAAGAGAAAGCAATCAAAGCTTACCACTACAGAAAATTATAAGATCACAAAGATACATTGCTACAATTTATACCTTAAACTGTCAATCATATTTTTACAGTGTAAAAACAATACAAATGTATTTACATTGTCTAACTTGTTCAGCATGTGCAGTAATCGTCATTCCTTTGTATAGATGTGAGTTGCCATCTGTTTTAACGTTCTATCATTCTGAAGAACTTCTCGTAACACTGTTAGTGCCTGTCTGCTGGCACTAAATTCTCTTTTTTTAAAAAAAAAAAAAAGTATTTTTACTTACTATACAACTTTAAGTTCACAGCTTTTCTTTTGGCACTTTCAAGTTCCTTGTCTTATGGCATGCATTGTTTCTGACAAGAAATCTATCTTAATTGTTATTTCTGTTAACATAATTTGGCTTAATATAATATAAAGAGGTTTCTCTGTCTGTTATTGAGATTTTTGCTTTATTGTTGGTTTTCATCAGTTTGATTATAATGTGCCTTGTTGTGGTTGTCTTTGGGTTTATCCTACTTAGGATACAGTAAAATTTATCTACCTGTAGTTGATATTTTGCATCACATTTGGAAAAATGTTGGCCACTGCTTCTTCCAACATTTTTTCTGCCCCTACACTTGCCCCAGTTGTTCTCCTTCTAAGATTATAATTACATGGATAGACTGTTTTTGCTCATAGGTCAATAAATCTCTTTAAATTTTTTTTCAGCCTTTCATTATCTCTATGTTTCAGTTAGGGTAATTTTATTATACTGCCTTCAAATTCTCTGATTTTTTTTTTCTTTTTCAGCACCACATCTGCTGATAAGCCTTTCTAGTAAAGTACTAATTTCAGATATTACCTTTCTCAACACAAAAATCATTTTATATCCTTCTGTCCTCTCCTTATTATGTTTATGTTTTCCTTGAAATCCTTGAATACATTTATTATAGCTGCTTTAAAGTCCCTTTTCTGCTAATTCTATCATTTCTTGATAGATTTTTATCCTGGTTATTGGATGTAATTATTGCTTCTTTGCATATCAAGTATATTTTTCTGGATGCAGAATAAATGTTACTCTATTGAGTATCTGGATTTTAACTGCTTTTAAAATGTGAGTTTTTTGTTTTGGTGCCCCATTAAGGTACATGTGGGCCTCCTCAACCCTTCCGAAACTTATTTTTAAGGTTTGTTAGGGTATGTCTACAGCACCTCTTACTCTGATGAGTTCAGAACTACTATTAAGGCATGACCCTTCTGAGCCATCCACAGAATACTTTGCTCCATGAGGTATCTCTACTATGGCTCATAAAAACTTAAACATACCTCACTCCATTGTGAGCTCATGGACTCTCAACTCTCTACACACATACCTTAGTGTTCAGCCAAGATCTCAACAGGAATCTTTGTCTAGCTCCCACCTCTTCAGTATTCTTTCCCACATATTCCAGATGCTTCAGGCTCCCCAAACTCCCATCTCTGTCTTTTCAGCTTTGGAGTATCTCCTTTCTCTGCTTGGATCCCTCTTTCCCACACTACAGTTAGAAAGTGCTTTTAAGCAGAAAACCAGGGTAATTTTCTTGCTCATCTTGTTTTTAACCCTTATCTCAAGGATCTTAGTTCTGTGCTGTTTTCCAATGTCTGCAAACATTCATTTTTTTCTTTATGCTTAGTTTCCTAGTTGTTTATGTCAGGAGGGGAAAACTGATAGCAGTTACTTCATCGGGCTAGAAGTGGAAGTTGAACTTTGTACTATTCCATAATCATGTTTTTTAAATTTTGCATAAAAGAAGTAAATTTGACTTACCTCTAATTTCACTACTTTGAGATATCCTCTATCATTATCATACATAGTGTTTTTTTCTATAAATATGTATAATTCTTATACTGTTAAACCTGGACCATATAAACTATAGCTAGCTTTGTTCAAAAAAAAAAAAAAACTCCCCATTTTCTCATTCTACTCTTTATATTCATGTTTACTAATACTATTATCTTATTAAATCACACAAATATATGCCCCAAGAATTATGAAATATATGGACATTCTTGGCCTCCACTGTAATTTCAAGGAGGAGAGAACATTGCTCAAGTTTAAGAACAGATTAAGACTGTATTTTTCTGGCAGTGATGCTTTAAATGGATAGAGTCCTCCATGTTCTCAGCCATTGCCATTTTTCACTCTCTCTCCTTTCTTTGAAGCCACGTTGGTCCAAGCACAGCTTCTTCTGAAATGGCAGAAGATCTACTCATATGTTTCTCTAATTCTCTGTTTCTTCCAAGTAGAACCTATGCTTGGAAAAGTTACATGCGACCCTGAATAGCTAAAGGTGGTAGCCTCAGTTAGGTAGCAGGTCTGGAGACAGTTACTGGGAAGAATGTATTTATATATTTTTTCTCTCTTTCTTTTCTCTCTCTCTCCGTCTTTCTCTCCTCTAGCTTATTCAAGCTTATCTGGTAAAAAGAATGTTTCTACATGTCCCAGACCATCTGAAGTACAGAGTCAGAACCCAGCTAAAGTATTATCTTGCCTCACACTACCAGTTTTCTTTTCCTGCATGTGAGAATATAATTTCCCTCTGGTATTCTTGGAGAAGAGATGTGATGAAGTCAAGCAGAACTGACTCATTCCTGGGTCCCATATTTTAATAGCAAAGTAATAGCTTCCCAACCTGAACCTAACTTCTTACAGGTATTTATTTTCCATTTCTCACTATTTGAAATTGAAATCAATATATTTATATTAAATCTTTGTATACTACTTTAATTATCTCATGGTAATTGATTTCTGGAAGTTGAGTTGTATTGTCAAAAAATATGAACTGAGAATTAAATTTTTCACAAAAACACCAAATTTCCCTCTAAAAAAGTTGTACTGATATATGTTCTTATCACTATAAAATGTGTTCATCTTTTTATTGTTACCTCATCAATTCAGGTTAGCATTTATAAAAACCAAAATACAAACACTTTGCCGCCAGAATCACAGAAAAAAATCTTATTTCATTTAACTTCTATATCTTTAATTACTTTTCACACCTATTGAGCATTTGTTCTTTCAGTTTTGAATTGTCAGTTCAAACTTACTATTTTTTCTATTAGGGTTTTCATCTTCTTAATGATTGTCTATTTTTCATAATTTTTCTTACTATTATTGATTCAGAGTTTTTCATTTGCTTATTACCTTCATTTAGTGAGCAATGCTTTTCTTATGCATTGAAATTCTGCCATCACCCTATTTTTCCATCATAATTGACCATCCGAACTACTTATAGTTCCCTTTCCAACACCTGACTTGTTACATATCACAAGATCTTATGCACAGTTGCAAATTTAAAATATATCTAGATACGGTAGTCCTCTAAATCACCTTTGCTCTCTTTTCTTCTTGCAATTTGACACCATCTAGCTCCAAATGCAGATGGTGTGCAAAGCTCCAAGCCTTAGTTAGGAGGCAGACATGGACTCTGGTGAGCAAAAGCATATTAACTTTCCATATCTCCCTTTTTTTTCTTTCCTATCTAAGTTCACATTTTACTCCCCTTTCCCAGGTCTGTCAAAGACATTGCGCTGGTGGTGGCTCAGGAAAATCCCAGCAAATAAAGTTTTCATAGGCCTTTAGGTATGAGATTATTTAACTGAGTGCTTGGCTGAGCAGGATTAGAACACACGTTCAAATATCTTGATGGAGTAAACAAGAGAGAAATGTTAAAGTGTGCAGTCATAGAAAAGACACCCTAGTCCAGGTCTCCAGGCAGCTGCATCTAGCCTGAAGGCACTAGGTTCCTGCAACCCAGGGTGAGAACGGCAGGGCAGCTAGAGGAACTTGAGTGCTGAAGATGCCTAGGCTTTCTTTCATGGGTTCTAGGCTTCTGGGGGTTTTCTATTCCTTGTGCTAGTTTTGTTTTGTTTTCCAGACACAAACAAATAGCAACATCCAAAATGCCAGTCTCTCTGAAATTTATTCTTTTAAAATTAGGCTTGTGAAACAGCAGGATCTTTACTTCATAGCCTGATACGCTATGAATGCACCTTCAAACTTAGGACCTCATACAATATACCATATTAAACTAAGACAATATGCAGTATTGCACCAATACAAGAGGAAATGAAAACATGATAGGCGATGCCTTTAAGCACACGCAGGTCATCTTGCTCTGAGTATGAGAGACAACATGAATCTGAGATGTAACAACGACAGAGAGACAGACATCAGTAGAAAGATTCACACACATACACAACAAGAGATTGACAAAAGACATCTCTAGCCTGTGACCATTCTCCTTTCATTAAGTGTTGCTAATCCATTGTCACTGCTACATTTGTAAATGTTTATGTAACTGAATTGGTATAAATAATTCAAAGCAATATTAACTTTGATGTACAGATGGCTTTTCCTCTGAAGGCAACTTGGATAGTATTTGGGGCATGACTGTCTTAACCGAAGAATATTTTGACGTGGTACTTCTTGTGTTTTGTTGTTGTTGTTGTTGTTGTTGTTGTTTCTAGCAGAATTCTCCAAGGTTCACTTCGTGAAGGGCTGGAAAAGCCTCTCTCAGGGTTAAAATGATTTTAGGAATACATAATTCCAGTGCTAGAAGTAAAGATGGATATCCTTATATTTAGAGTGAAAAATAAGGCATCTTCACCAGAAAGGAAACTTGATCCCTGTTGGAAATTGGTGGGGGGTGACGGGGTGGTGATGGGGGACAAGAATCTCTGCAAGCCAGGAAGGAAGGAAGGGAAGGAAGAGGTTAAGAGGATGTGAAAGACACAAGACAGCGGTGAGGATGAGTAATGGGTGGAGGAATACACAGCCCACACTCCCAGGAGGAGTCCAAGCTTTTATCTAAGGCCAGTAGTTTGGAAATTTGCCCTTCCATGTATTCTGTAATGACCTTGGAGCCTCTGGAGAGAAGAACGCTGGTCAGTGGGTACCATCGCCTGTGGAAACTTGTTTGCCCTGGCCTCAGAACGTGAATGCACAATCAAACCCATCTTTAATATGTCTCCCCTCAGAATGTGAAATATTCTCTCTGCAAGTGTCATCAAAGATGCTCCATACTCCCCAGTAAAAGTCCTCTAAGAATCTAAGACAGATCAGTTGCCTGGCCTGATTTACCCGTGATGTATCTTAAGCAGTACTGGAGACCCAAAACCTCTCCAGATCCTCCCAGAATGAGGCTCCTGTGACAATGTGTCCTGCTCATTTCCTCCCCCTGAGCAAATTGCTACAGGCGGCTGCCTTTGAAGGAAACTGTCTCTGCAACCATAAACTCCCCCTGGGAGACAGCAAAGAAGCAGGAAGCTGGAAAGCAAAGGATGCAGAGTACAAATTGCATTCAGAGGCAGAAGGGGAGGGGAGCCCAGCTGGGATTTCAGCTCCTGAGCGACCAGCTCCATTGACCTTTGCTTCTCTCCTTTATTCTCTACTGCCCCTTTTTAGCTTTGTTCCTTTTATGCAGGAGTGTACGCTATATAGGGTATGAGCTAAACCATCAATAACCGAGACACAATGTTCCCCAAAACTCGACCGAATTCTTAAAAGGATGAAGACACAGGAGCAAGCTGGTCTTTAGTCACCTTCCTTATTCCCTCATTAAAAAAAAAAAAAAAAAAAAAAAAAAAAAAAAAAAAAAAGCAAGTTACTAACAGCTGCAGAGAGCTGCTTCCACGAATTGCAAATAAATTCGGGGTCCACATGAATGAAGTCTTTCCTGGTGGGCTGATCTGTTCACCTGCCCCTGTGAAGGGCAGTTTGTCTGAGCCACCTATCTGGGAGGTACACAGGTACACTTTCTCTGAGAGCAGAAGATTGCTGCAAGGAGGGCGAGGTAGCTTTTTCAAACCCTTTATCTCTGCGGGCCAGGTTGTTCCAGTTACAAGCTGCTCAATTGCCGCATCAAGTCTCTGCCTTCAAGAAAAAGAAACAAGGAAATACAATCTTACTTCTGGAAATCTAAAAGCTTATAAAAGCTCACAGTAGAATTTGCTTCAGGCAGAACCCACAGGAATTTCTATCGGGGAGTGAGGGGGCAGACAACTGGATGTGTGGCAGAAAAATTCAACTCAGACCCCCTGTTTCCCAACAGCAGCAGTTCTCAGAATTTTAGATTTAAAACTTAAGGAAGAAATGCTTTCTCTGAGCAAAAGAAACTCTACTGAGCACCTCCACCTTGCCTATACACCCGACACACCAGCCCATCATCACCACCACGCTAATAACTCAGTGCACTGACTTACAGGCTGGTGCTGTTTTCATGAACCAAAGATGAGCTTCCAGTATGTTTTTAAAAATTAAATAAGCTGTATGAATTATTCATCGTTTACACCCCCTCCCAAAGAGTATGGATCTGATATTTTAAACATTATTACTTCCTCAATCCAATAATCAATTTCCTCCACAAACCTTGTCATGATAACCTCTGCAAGAAGGACATTTCTGCTCTGAATTACTATTGCATTTTGGTTTGGCCCCGCTACACGGGGTGTCGCATGGATTGTCTTACAGCTAATTATGAGCACAAAGACCTTTTAGATGGTGCCTGAGAAACCACCCAGGAAACAGGAATAAGCACCCCAGCCCAAGAGTCCTCATTCATCTTGATCAAACTAATACTAGGGGACGGGATCGGTTCACCTCCTCTCTGACTAGGCGATTAAGGGGGCATAACTCAGAGACACTGAATACAAGCTTGTCAAAAGCTGGGCTGATGAATTCAAATCTAATCTAAAAGCATAATGGGTAGAAATGCCATTTATCTTAATCAGTGCTAAAGGTTAATGTATAGACATGGTTAGCTCCATAGAAATGAGAAAGAACATTTTGTTTTCTTCCTGGCTCTTTGCTATGAAAAGAAAATTCATCACGAGAAGCCAAGAGGAGATAATTAAAAAGCAAATGCCAGCCTGCTTTCAAAGCATCCATTTTCTGTGCTCAGCCACATGCCTTTGTTCTTCCTGCAGTGTCCTTGACCAGAAGATCGCCTGAGAGAGGTGCAGGAGGAGGTGATGCTGACTCAGGACTTGGCGCTGGTTGCCTGAACTGTAGGCTCCCCTCTCTTATGAGTCCACCACACCCCATTTGCTCAATCGGACGAAGTCGAGTTACCCAGTGTCAACCAAAGGGTGGGTGCCTAGCCCATCTTCTCTCTTTTGTGATTACAAATTCCAAAGAAAAAAAAAAAAAAAAAAAAAAGAATTGCATCTTTTTTTGCAATTCCAAAGCAAGTTTCTAGAAGGCAAAAAGCAGAGAGGGAATATCAAGCTGCTCTGATGGGTGATTCTCCAGCCCTAGCCCTTTCTCTGGATCAAGTGCAATGAGGAAGAGCATGGTTCCAGGAACTCCACAGAAGTTATGTCAGCTCTGTAGACAAATCGGTGCAAAAGGAATGGATGGCTGGTCTGCAGTCCAAACCCCCAGTAGGGATTTTTTTCTGCCTTAGTACAGGGGACATACATTAGAGGCAGCAAATGCGAGGAAATAGATGAGACAAGGTGTACCAGCTGTCAGAGGTGGGACAGGGAACCAGTCCAGCAGAGCTGCATAATAAGTCAGCAGTCTTCCCTGTATCCAGGCAGCAGCATCTGTGAAATTCAGCTGTGGCTATTTAAGTTATTGTTTCATTGTCCCACATGGAAGTAATCTCTTATGCAGGTTTTCTTTTTTAATTATTAGTAGGATGCTTATCACCATAGAACTCATGCAAGCACTATCCCAATCCTATTTATAGAAGAAGAAACAAAGACACAGGGGGGAAAAAAAAAGTCACAGTGCTGAGAGAACAGAAGGCCGATGTTCTAGACCCATCTCTGCCACTAACTTCCCACATAATCAAAAGAAACCACATTCTCTTTCTGCATCTTAATTTGGAGGCAGATATTATTGGTTGCCAAGAGGTGTATCAGTACCTACACGTACTTCTTGTTGGCAGAACCCCATTTTCATTTGGATAGTCAGCCTCCCCTGTGCTCAAGGAAGATGACTACTTCCTAGCCCCAGGAGAGGAATATCAATTATGATACTTTCATTCCCCTCATTGCTATTAGTATGAACATGGATATGTTATATAATCTAACAAATAAGATCTGAAACTACAGCAGGCCTCTGAGGACATTTTTCTCAGTCTTTAGAAGGGACACAGATGAGGACGTGCTTCTCCCTGCTTTTGGTTCTTCTCTTATGAGGATATAATTCATGTTTGGAGCTGTGGCAGTCGTACTGTGACCATGAGGAAAATTACCATCCTCACACCAAGGATGGCAGAACAAGACAATGGAAGGCCCCTATGTGCCTCAGCACATGATTACATTAAAGGACTCCCCTCCCCCCATGGAAGGTAAAATAATTAACTTTTTATGATTAAGCCACTCTTAGTTGGGTATTCTATAATAAGCAGCTAAAATGATCCTCTGAACCCATCAACCCTGCTTCCCTCCCTCCAGTAACCTCCATATTTCTTTCCTGCCCTGACCAGTTGGGTAGCAGCAGAGAAATGAAAGAAGGATGGAATGCTGGGTGGTTGTCAGGGGCAAAAGAGGAACTTGTAAAAGAGAAAAGAGCAAAAATCCATGTAATGTTAAAATTGAACATGTAGTATACTATGTGAAAAAATTGTAAGGAATACAAGACTTCATCGAAAGGAAATTAGGGTGCCATTCAGAACAAACAAGACACATCGTGGAATACAATGGACCTGAAGGTCCGGCAAGGACATAGGAAAAGAGAACTTTGCACCATCAGCAACCACCATGCGCATCCCTGACCCACTGGGGGACACAGCTAGGTGTAAGGAGCATGGTGGTTTGGCAAGGCAGGCTTCCAGGTTAAACCAAGGTAGGAGATCAGCAGGACTTGCTTTCCTAGCACCAGTCACAAGACCCCGCTGAACAAATCAGGAGCTGATTAAGACTCAATGCAGCAAAGAAACTGGCCAAAATCAGCTAAAACCAACATGGTGACAAGAGCAGCCTCTAGTTGCCCTCATTGCTCATTATACACTAATTATAATACATTAGCATGTTAAAAGACACTCCCATCAGCACCAAGACAGTTTACAAATGCCATGGCAACCCCCAGAAGTTACCTTATATGGCTTAAAAGGGGAGGAGCCCTTTGTTCTGGTGACTCCCTGCCCCTTTTCCAAAAAAATTTATAAATGACCTGCTCCTAATTTAGCATATAATCAGAGAATAGCCTACATACAGCTAGCCAGCAATCCATGAGGCAGGGGCTTCTGCCACTGCTGCCACTCCTACTGCTACTACAACTCCTCTGTCTACAGAGCGCTCATGTTCCTGTACTCTGTTGCTCTAATAAACTTGCTTTCACTTTGCTCTGTTGTCTTCCTCATAAATTTTTTTTTCCTGCCTGAAGCCAAGAACCCTCCAGGCTGTCACAATTTTGGGGTTCATCTGCAGCACCACTAGCCACAAACAACACAAAGAGTTGAACTAGGGCTTTCTCAGAGTGACAGCCTTCAAGAGCAGCCTGGAACTAAACTGTGTTTGGCCTCTAATTTGTCTATTTCTCACCCATTGGAGTAAAGTTGATGTGGGTTTGGAAGTTGTTTGTGGAACCAGTCTAGTTCACAGGGCTTAGAGTGACCCCTCAAATATTTACTTCTCTTAGTAACAGTGGCTGTCACCCTGTTGAGAAGAAATATTCCAAACCAGACATAGTTGTGGCCTCCTTAAAATTGTTCCTGAGTGTTCAGGGACTGAATTAGTTTTCAGTGGCTGCATAACTAATTACCACAAACTCTGTAGCAAAAAATAACACACACTTATTATCTAACAGTTCCTGTGGGTCAGGGGTTGGGATTTCCTCAGCTGGGTCCCCTGCCTCGGGGCTCACAAAGCACCTCCTTCCCTGCTCATGTGGTTGTCTGCAGCATTCATTTCCTAGCAGCTGAAGGAGTCACAGCATCTTGCTTCTTCAAAGCTAGAAAAGAGAGGGAAAGGCTAGCAGGAGACTGCTAACGAGCCAGAGACTTACATGAAGTAATCATGGAATGAGAGCCCATCACCTTTGCCATATTCCATTGGTTAGAAGCAAATCACAGGCCCCACCCACACACAGAAAGGGGTTTACATAAAGGCATGAACACCAGAAGGCATAGACCATGGAAGCTACCATAGAGTTTATCTGCCACAAAGACCCAACCTGATAATGCCAGTGAGTTACGATGGTTGTGTTAAATTAAAGCTAGATAAATAAAACGAATAAGTTCTAGTGTTCTATACCATTGTAGAATGACCATCATTAACAATATATAGTTTCGAATAGCTAGAAGGATGTTGAATGTTCCCAACACAGAGAAATGATAAATGTTTGAGATGATAGATATGCTAATTACCCTGATCTGATCACTATACACTGTATGTATTGAAACATCCTATGTATTCCATTAATATATACACTATCATGTGTAAAAACTAAAACTAAAATTAAATACCAAAAAATAGTTGTGTTTTGAGGTCCTCCCAGAACATAGACTGTTCTAATTCTCCCTTCAAGCTCCATTTTTTATTAGTCTAGGCAGTTGGGTATGGGAGCTGCCAGGAAGTGTCAAAATCATGCGACTGAGCAGAATCCAGAACAAAATGTGAACCCGGAGTGCAAAAAATCAAACAGGGAAATTTAAATGGTTCACTAAAATGGGCTTAAAGTGTGAAAAAGAAGCTGCAACCCTTTGAGATCAATGTGAAGTAGCTTTGCAAATAAATAAATAGGAAAGACATCATGGATACTAGGGTCCAAGTTTTAGGTCCAGTGTCCCCTGCACGTTGAAAGTTTTCACTGCGTATACTGGAAAAATATTGCAGTATTTTATTAAAGAATATAAAAAGCAACAATAATGAGTAATAAGTAACTGATCAGGTTATTATGCTTAATTGGTCTTATCTGTAGGTTAACATCTGTTTGAAAGATCTTAGAAGATCGGGTCTTGACATGAGATCCTAGGAATGAAGAATGAAATCCAGGCTAAGTATCAGGAGTGGGGTTCATAGCCCTATAGCAGCACTAGACATTGGGAGGGAGTGGCAGCTTAAGAAGAGACACTTACAAAAGTATCTTACTTAGAAAACAGATGCTTACAAAAGCCATGCCACACTAGACAGCATGGGAGAGGAGAGAGATCAGTGGAGCCCAAGGCAATCGGAGCAACTGCAGTTTTTTTAAAAATCAATGGTTAATGAAACAAGGGTAAAAAGCCAGTGTTCCCCAGCAACATCTTCTTCCCGTTACCGGAGAGCACCTCCACCTAAAAGAACAAGGTAATGTTGAATCCTCATCTAAGGTCACTGCTGTCCTTGAGGAAGAATTCAAACAGCACATTCACCTTTTACTCCAACTTTGAGGAGGGCAATGCAAAGATCTTTTCCTTTAGGCCATAACTGGACATTTATAGAATTACAGCAAAGAGCATAAAATGGTGTTTTGTGCCATACTTTCTTTGGAGTCTTAACTCTTTGGATTATCTCTCTCTCAATGTATTCATCTAGGGATGTTCAGATAAGCCAGAGGCTGCACCTGCTGGGTTGATGTTTTCTACAATCAGTAGCATGCTTCTGTTGGCTCTAGCCTAGGTTGTAGGGGGAAAATATTCTCTCTTTAGTATCATTTATTTAGGCTTGAATTTATTTCCCTGTGGCAAGACAAAACAGGCTGTGGATCTAGGGAAAATGGACAAGGAGTCTCCTCAGCCTCCCTCTGGTAAAGGTCTTAGGCCACAGACCCAAAATAAGCTTCTGAATTTCATGAGTGATTCAACCCAACTTTTCAGCCGTAAGAGAGTCCAGATTCAAAATTTATCAGTGCCCATTTTCTCTGTGTCTGTCCTCCTTATGAAACTGACTCAATAGTAGAAGCCAAATCAACGATCTTAGGATGAAAGAGACATCCTATCACTCATTTAGCAGCACTGTTTTCCAAGCCCTCCCCTGTTCTCCCAAACACATAGTAGAATCACATTCCATCACATAAATTTAAAATGTGAGGCTCGGTTCTACTAGAAACCTTAAGAGTCTATGCATGAGATGTCATCCTCTTTTCTCTGGGGCTTGTGAAGCATTATTCAAGAAGATGGCTGCTCTGTCATCCTGACAGGCTGCAGGGAACAGGGCCCAGCTGACCTGCAATGGGCATACCAGCATTAACAAGAAACAAGCCTTTGTTGTTTTATGCCATTGAACTTTTTGTTGTTGTTATTTGCTTGCGTTTGGTTTTCACAGCATAACCTAGTTTATCCCGACAGTTGCAGACCCCACTGCCTGTGGTCTCTAAGGCTGTATAGACAGAGGCAGAATCTTCACAAGAACTGTGACCCCAGCTTCAATGTTCTCTCTGAAACTGGAACACTCTAAGATTTCACCCCATAAAAAAATAGGCTGTTGGGTAGTTTGTTGAGCATTGCAGGCTTCTATGAGTAATACCAAAGTGGCTAGGATGAAAAGTTTACCCTTATTTATAGATTGCTTACAAGAAAATTCCCCCAGGTCTTCATTTTCAAGCTAATATATGGAAAAATGCCTATTTAGGGGGGAAAGGGGAGGGAGAAAGGGGAGGGCAGAGAGAGGGGAGGGCAGAGAGAAGGGAGGAAGAAAAGAGACAGTGCTTTGGCAGAGGTAATTTTTCATAGGTTATATATTATATGCTGGGTATCAGGCAAAGCTTTGCTGATGTCATAGAATAGTCAGCCAGAAGACTTGTTATGAAATTTGTATTAGAGAGTTGTCTAATCGGGTCATATTTACCTCTCTGAGGCAGTAAAATATAAGGATTTTTGGAATATATAATGAAAGTGCTTCACAAAACAATACGAAGATACCCTTTATGCTGCCATTAAATTAAATGAAGGGTGAGAATGAACTATAAGGAAAAAAAAGAACACTCATAAAAAGAGCTGGAAATAATATCGAGATGATAACACTTAAATAGCAATATTACCCAAAAGAGACTTTTAAATTGAAAGTAAGTAATGACAAGATAAAATTTTCTTCTTCTGAGTAGAAATGGGAACCCATAAAGGAAATTAAAAAGAAAGGAAAATGGAGTTTCAGTTTTGTGTGAGTTTGATTTGTGACAGTTCAATTTATATTTGACACAGAAAAAATAAAGGTACTATAAGAAATAAAATAATTATACCAAATAACTTATGTAGTAGCTAGGCCCACATATGAAAACAAATGTTGGAGCTCTACTTCCATAGAAAGGTAGGAAGAGGTCACCTTGTTATTTGTAGAGAGTGTTGAAGCAAGAAAGATAGAACAGGAAACAGAGATCCTGACTCCACATAAAGTACAAGTTTTTCCTGGTCCAAGTCTCAGGATCACAGAAGCTCGGGTGATTAAGCTAAAACCCTGTTCATGTGTGCAAAATTCAAGACTGTCTTCCCTTGGAAATCAGAATGAATAAGATAATCTACTACAAAGTTGATAGACGGAAATCCCTCCCAATGCAGACCCCACTCTTTTTATGTTAGATGAAGGGATTGCAACGTTAGGGGAGTCTGAATCCCTCTGGAGCATTAATTCAAAGCCAGGTGGCTCTACAGAGTCCCAGAGAGCTAAATATCTTCCCTTAGCCAGAAGCTTCTTCAATATCCTGAATGGATAACCTCCTAGTGTGACTAAGTTCTGCAAGAACTATTTCACACTCAGACCTGTTGGAGGTACTGATAGATAAAAGTGGCCCCATAAAAGAGGCCAAGCCAAAGACAGCTTTTTCAGCATTCTAGGAGGACATACAGTACAGTGGTTGAAAGCATAAACTTCAGCATCAGACCGACATAAATCCTGTCCTATTTCTGACATCTACTCACTGTGTGACCTTGTGCAAGAATATCACTTAATCTCAACATTCCCATCAATAAAATTGAGATAATAGAGCCTACTTCATAGGGATGACTCTGAAGACTAATCAATATAATGCATGTAAAATGTTTAGTTCCTGGCATTCAGTACAAAATCAATGTAGACTTGCTATTGTTAGAATTTAAAGTTTTGTGGGGTTTTTTTTTTCTTTGCTCAAGGAATGTCCCAATCTCTTTCCAACATTAGCTCAACAATCCAGTGTGTCTGGAGCTTTAACCAGCTTATGTTGTTAATCTACAGCCCAGAATATGGAATCCTACTTAGAATATCTATCAGCTGTTCCAGGACTGAGTCAAACAATCAGCAGAATTAGGAATTACAAGGGATAATATCATTAGGAAAAATGGAATAAAATAGCTTCCCTAGGACAAGGTGGAGGCTGCAAAAAACTGAACACTTCTCTAAACCCAGACTAAAGTTAGAGATCTCCTGAAATTGGCCTAATGCTATTGGACATTTAGTCTTTGTTTGGTACCCTACCATCCCTTTTGCTGGAAAGAAAGGAAATCAAGTAAGTACATCATAATTTTTCATTGTCCCAGATTATGGACAAAGGGGCTGTGATAGGGCTGTGCCCCACAGTTATCTGAGATACAGGAAAGAGACTCTCAGAGCCACAGCAAGAGTGTCAGAAGAGCTCTGTTGTGAAAGTCTACATGTGAGCCCGCATCTGCTAACAGTATAGGAGTGCTTAGCATCGCTCTGCCTTAGGGAAGATCAAGTGTTTGTTCAAAAAACATCAGGTCTTTGAAGTGGTTAGGAACCATGAGGAATTATAATCCCAAATTTTAGTGCTCAGCACTGACTCTACAATAGTTTGACTTCCTGATAAAGTGCCTCAGTGTATTTCATTGTGATAGGCAATGACATCTCCAGGACACTTTGAGATAAAAATTAAGAAACTGGGGAGACTTTGGCCAAATAAAGTGCTCCCAAGAGGGGGAAGATCATAAAGAACGATGCAGCACTGACCACAGAAAAATAAACCCCAGTGCAACCTCTTTAAGATCCTGTACGAATTAAACACAGCAAGCCATGTCTTAGAAGCCAAATTATCTATTTCTGTTCATCTTTGAATTCAGTCATCCTTTATCTCATTATCTTTTAGAAAGTCACTTACAACTCATATAATTAACTTTACTTGCTTGGGGTACAAATATAATATATATTTGTTTTACTTTTCCAATTCACATCTCTAGCCATACCATGACTTTATTAATATGAAGTTCAATCTTGAAGACTTGTCCTGAATAATCAAAGGACAATTATATTGAGCATACGAGATGTTGAGAAGAATGATTCCTGCTGTCCTGAAACTATCGCTAAGTTACAGACCTGAGGGGGAAAGTATGCTAAGGATCCTGCATTTCAAGGTCAAGATGTATCAGCAGCTGGACCTACCACTTCCCAGCAAAATTTACTAAGATGCATCAGTACAGAAAGGGCTACCCATCACTAACCAATATATGAAGAGGACTTAGGGAAAGGGGATAGATTGCCGGTCTTTTGGGGAGAACGTTGATCATGAGGAGAGATTATTCCCTTTTCTCTCCCTAGAAAGCCAAGGAAGGAAGCATCCTAGAGAATTGAGAATAGTAGGCGTGCCTAAAGAATGGCAAGTAGAATTTTTCTTTAGATATTGAGTTATACAGTAACCCTTTCAATATGTCCCTGTGCTGCTTACACGGATGAAAAGAGAACTGGGGAGAGATGGTGTAGATGAGAGGGTGGACTGCAATGAAGGAAGCCGCAAGGCTACTCTTTCACGTGCGAAGGACTTTTGAGGTTTTTGGGGGACTACATGCACACCCAGAAAAGTAGCTGGGCTTGAACGTTCTTAATGGTATTTTAGTGAATGAGGAAACTCCTCCAGAAAATGTTTGTTTCTGGTGGTAGACCAGGGAAGAGGCTTGCGCAGAAGAGGAGGTGGAGCCAAAGCTGAATTTCTCACATTACATAATTGGGCAATAAAGAGATTCAACTGAACTCTATGAAGAATCCCACATATGCTCCACAAGAGATGCAGGATTTACATGAACTCCATAAATATTCAGGGACATCACACATTAATGAAGTTTTTAGAGTTTCAGTAATACCTCTTTAAATTTGGGGGGGTACCATACACCACTATCAAAATATTTTTCTAATCCATTTATTGGGTGGCAAGGAAGTTTACCCACTTTGAGTGGGGCCCAGCAAAGGAAGGCTCTGCAGAATGTCTTGCAAATCAAGCAATAGAACATGAGCTGCTGCTAGAAAAATCTGATGATGATTAAGAACATTCTACTGAGTCTCTAGCAAGTTCCAATTGGCTATTGTAGCACAGATCCATAGTATTCTGGAGCAAAGCCATGCCATCTGCAGTAGAGACTACTCTTCATTTGAAAATCAACTCTTAGTATGCTACTGATCCCTAGGAGAGTCTGTGCCTCTGACCATGAGATTAAAAATAATTGACCTACAGAAGCTGTCCATTATGGGCATTATTAGATCTATCAAGTCACAAGTTAAAGAACATATAGCAGCAATGATTATATAGGATAAAGTGTATTTCTGAATTGGGTCTAAGCAGACCCGCAACACAAAAACAAATTACATGAAAAATTGGCCTAGACTCTCGGTCAGGTCACCTACCAACGTTGTAGAAATGACTACATCTTAACTCAAACTTCTGTCCTCCTTAGGTTTTCCTATGACCAAATGATGATAGGGAAAATAACTTGGGCCTAGTTCACAAATTGGTTCATGAACTGTGTTGATGCCAGCAGGAAATAGACTGCTACAGCATTGCAGCCCCACTCAAAAGTGACCCTAAATAATACTGGTGAAGGGATATCAACCCAGCCGTCACAGAGAGCTGCAGTCAGTGTTCTTGGTAGGCCCAAGTTCATTTTATTGGTAGGCCCAAGTTCATGTTATACAGGGGTCTAGGCTACCTGAGGTATAGATACCCACTAACCATGTGGGAGATGAGAGGGAGTGGCTAATCACTTATCTGATTATCCACAGTTCTGAAAGGACAATGGAGTTAGAGACAGATTTATCCTGCCTGAAGTGAGATGGGCAGAAATAGGAAATATGGAGCTTTGAATCAAGTTTGTGATTGCATTTTCATGTGAACAGAACTGAGTCATAAACATTGGCTTGAAACTGATCTAATAACGGAACAAGCCTGATAAGTTTTAGAATCTGCCTAGATGTTATTAAGGGACCTACTACACAGTGAGAAAGTAGGTTCCACATAGCCCAATGGAGTTCAGTAGTTGGGGAAAAATATCTTATTCATATATGATCACACTGAGGTGCTTTGATCATGGGTCACTTTCCAGAGGAGGCATTCACTAACTCATCATTCTGGGGCAATTAGATGAATTCAATGATATAGCAGTGAACTTGCACATCCATATTAGCTGCATTATTATACTATTATTGATCTTGAAGGTTATAGTTATTATTCATTATTCAACACATTTATATTGAGGTTCTACTATGCGGCAGACAATATTCTAGACACCAGTAATCTGTTGTTGAAAAAAAGTAGAAATAGTTTTTACTCTTATAGATCTTACAGCATAGTGGAATAGATATTCAATGAATAGCCATGCTAATATATGTGGTATATATAATATATATGCTAATGATATATGGTATATATACTTATGAAATTCACAGAAATAAAGAAAAAAAAATCAGGTCAAATAGTAGAGGAACATGACCAAAATAGGAGATTAAATGAAACTTCCTAGGGAAGTTAAAATTTTGAGCTGAGAATGGAAGGATAAGTGTGTGTTAAGCAGAAGTTAGAAAGGAACACCTTCCAAGTGAGGGAAGAGTATATGCAAAATTCCTGTGGCTGAGGAAGGATTAAGTAGATATTCAGTAGGTAAAATCAACAAAAGTTAAAGATAGCTTACATACAGAGGAAAACGAAGGCAGACTGTGTGACTTGTGTCCTACATAGAAAGGACACTGAGGTAAGAAGATTTGGGGAGAAAAATCATGTGTTTGGTTTATATATATTGAAGTTTAAGAAGCTTTTCTCCTTTAAGATTGTAAAATAGATGCAAATCTATTTGTACCTTTTAGAACAACCTGATTTAATTAATGTGTTTAATTCTGTGCTAAACATAGCATGAAAGAAATTAAGCACAGTTGGAAACTCATATGGATTGTACTTAATGCCATATTCTCTGAAAATTCAATTACTCAGGACTTAATAACATTTTAATGTCACAAATTCGCTTTTTCCTTCGTCTTTCTTACAGAAATATTTTTTGAACACCTACTATGAGCCTAGAATTGTTCTAGGTGGTGCACACATAGTGGCAATGGCATCTGTCTTCAGGTTTATAGTTTTGGGAATAAATTTTAAAATGTAGACAGTTACCATCCTGTCTAGCACGGTGAAACCCTGTCTCTACTAAAAATACAAAAAATGAGCCGGGCACGATGGTGGGTTCCTGTAGTCCCAGCTGCTTCGGAGGCTGAGGCAGGAGAATGGTGTGAACCTGGGAAGCAGAGCTTGCAGTGAGCTAAGATCGAGCCACTGCACTCCAGGCTAGGATACAGAGCAAGACTCTGTCTCACAAAAAAAAAAAAAAAAAAAAGACAGTTACAACACAGCGTTAAAAGTGCTTCCACAGAGAGCAGTAGAAAACTCCATGAGAGTACATACTAACCACGGCCTGTAGCCCATCCTTGGAGGGCAGGATCAGTAAATGCTTCAAAATCATCAGGTGGTGATGCCTGAGCTAAAACCAGAAAGATGAAGGAGATTTGTCCCATCAAATGACAGGCATGGAAACGAAGAGAGATGTAAACAGAAGAGACTAATGAGAGTGAGACAGGAAAAAATTCACAGATCATTCAAGTAATTAAAACTAGTATAATAAGACTAATGTGTAGAGTTGGGTAAGAAGTGATAGCAGGAGATAAGACTGTTATGTGCCACATTAAGGTGTTTCGATTTTTCTTGAGGGTACCTGGGAACAATGAAAGCCTTGAAAGTAGTGTTTTAGATGAATATCCTTGATGAACATTGATGCAAAAATCCTCAATAAAATACTGGCAAACCAAATCCAGCAGCACATCAAAAAGCTTATCCGCCATGATCAAGTGGGCTTCATCCCTGGGATGCAAGGCTGGTTCAATATACGCGAATCAATAAATGTAATCCAGCATATAAACAGAACCAAAGACAAAAACCACATGATTATCTCAATAGATGCAGAAAAGGCCTTTGACAAAATTCAACAGCCCTTCATGCTAAAAACCCTCAATAAATTAGGTATTGATGGGACGTATCTCAAAATAATAAGAGCTATCTATGACAAACCCACAGCTAATATCATACTGAATGGGCAAAAACTGGAAGCATTCCCTTTGAAAACGGGCACAAGACAGGGATGCCCTCTGTCACCACTCCTATTCAACATAGTGTTGGAAGTTCTGGCCAGGGCAATCAGGCAGGAGAAGGAAATAAAGGGTATTCAATTAGGAAAAGAGGAAGTCAAATTGTCCCTGTTTGCAGATGACATGATTGTATATCTAGAAAACCCCACTGTCTCAGCCCAAAATCTCCTTAAGCTGATAAGCAACTTCAGCAAAGTCTCAGGATACAAAATCAATGTACAAAAATCACAAGCATTCTTATACACCAATAACAGACAGAGAGCCAAATCATGAGTGAACTCCCATTCACAAATGCTTCAAAGAGAATAAAATACTTAGGAATCCAACTTACAAGGGACGTGAAGAACCTCTTCAAGGAGAACTACAAACCACTGCTCAATGAAATAAAAGAGGATACAAAGAAATGGAAGAACATTCCATGCTCATGGGTAGGAGGAATCAATATCTTGAAAATGGCCATACTGCCCAAGGTAATTTATAGATTCAATGCCATCCCCATCAAGCTACCAATGACTTTCTTCACAGAATTGGAAAAAACTACTTTAAAGTTCGTATGGAAACAAAAAAGAGCCCGCATTGCCAAGTCAATCCTAAGCCAAAAGAACACAGCTGGAGGCATCATGCTACCTGACTTCAAACTACACTACAAGGCTACAGTAACCAAAACAGCATGGTACTGGTACCAAAACAGAGGTATAGATCAATGGAACAGAACAGAGCCCTCAGAAACAATGCCGCATATCTACAACTATCTGATCTTTGACAAACCTGAGAAAAACAAGCAATGGGGAAAGGATTCCCCATTTAATAAATGATGCTGGGAAAACTGGCTAGCCATATGTAGAAAGCTGAAACTGGATCCCTTCCTTGCACCTTATACAAAAATTAATTCAAGATGGATTAAAGACTTCAATGTTAGACCTAAAACCATAAAAACCCTAGAAGAAAACCTAGGCATTACCATTCAGGACATAGGCATGGGCAAGGACTTCATGTCTAAAACACCAAAAGCAATAGCAACAAAAGCCAAAATTGACAAATGGGATCTAATTAAACTAAAGAGCTTCTGCACAGCAAAAGAAACTACCATCAGAGTGAACAGGCAACCCACAAAATTGGATAAAATTTTCGCAACCTACTCATCTGACAAAGGGCTAATATCCAGAATCTACAATGAACTCAAACAAATTTACAAGAAAAAAACAAACAACCCCATCAAAAAGTGGGCAAAGGATATGAACAGACACTTCTCAAAAGAAGACATTTATGGAGCCAAAAGACACATGAAAAAATGCTCATCATCACTGGCCATCAGAGAAATGCAAATCAAAACCATAATGAGATATCATCTCACACCAGTTAGAATGGCAATCATTAAAAAGTCAGGAAACAACAGGTGCTGGAGAGGATGTGGAGAAATAGGAACACTTTTACATTGTTGGTGGGACTGTAAACTAGTTCAACCCTTGTGGAAGTCAGTGTGGCGATTCCTCAGGGATCTAGAACTAGAAATACCATTTGACCCAGCCATCCCATTACTGGGTATATACCCAAAGGACTTTAAATCATGCTGCTATAAAGACACATGCACACGTATGTTTATTGCAGCACTATTCACAATAGCAAAGACTTGGAACCAACCCAAATGTCCAACAATGATAGACTGGATTAAGAAAATGTGGCACATATACACCATGGAATACTATGCAGCCATAAAAAATGATGAGTTCATGTCCTTTGTAAGAACATGGATGAAATTGGAAATCATCATTCTCAGTAAACTATCTCAAGGACAAAAAACCAAACACCACATGTTCTCACTCATAGATGGGAATTGAACAAAGAGAACACATGGACACAGGAAGGGGAACATCACACTCTGGGGACTGTTGTGGGGTGGGGGGAGGGGGGAGGGATAGCATTAGGAGATATACCTAATGCTAAATGATGAGTTAATGGGTGCAGCACACTAGCATGGCACATGTATACATATGTAACCAGCACATTGTGCACATGTACCCTAAAACTTAAAGTATAATAATAATAAAAAATAAATTAATTAATTAATTTAAAAAAAAAAGAAAGTAGTGTTTTGGCTGGGCCTGGTGGCTCACGCCTGTAATCCCAGCACTTTGGGAGGCCAAGGCGGGTGGATCACAAGGTCAGGAGTTCAAGACCAGCCTGGCCAACATGGCGAAACCCCATCTCTACTAAAAATACAGAAAAATTAGCCAGGCGTGGTGGCAGGCACCTGTAATCCCAGCTACTTAGGAGGCTGAGGCAGGGAATTGCTTGAACCCAGGAAGCAGAGGTTGCAGTGAGCTGAGACTGCACCACTGCACTCCAGCCTGGGTGACAAAGGGAGACTCCATCTCAAAAAAAAAAAAAAAGAAAAGAAAGCAGTGTTTGGTGATAACTAGATGGGCATTTTTAAAAAGTCACTCTGTTATCTGTGCTAGAAGAAACCAAGACTGGAACCAGAGACCAAATGAGGTGCTGTTGACATGATCCAGGTGACAGCTAAAGTTGTCAAATGGAAATAGAAAGAACCCAATGGTTTATGAACAACTTAGGAGATAGAAACAACTGGATTTTTTAATTCATTAAATACAGAGAGAGGCAAGAGCAAAAGGTGTACAAGATAAATACAAGGGCTATGGCTTGGGAGCTGAATGAGCAGTAGGATCAATTTTTTGGGAAAAGTTTGTGGTTTGGACATGAGTTTCAGATGTCTGACAAGCAGTCAGGCAGGGATGTTTGGAACGTAAGAGTCTGGAGCTCAAGAGGGAAATTAGGGCAAGAGATAAAAATTTGAGAACCATAGTTGAAGATGACGATGGCAACAAGGACGGCATGAGATGGATCAGGGAAAGTGTGTGGTGAGCTTCGGTAGGGTAAGAAGAAAAGCAGACTAGGTAGAAACCCTGAAAAACAGAGGCAACTAACAGACAGCTGAGGAGCGATACCTGTAAGAATACTTAGGCAGTGGTTGATGCCTGTAATCCCAGCACTTTGGGAGGCTGAGGTGGAGGGATCATTTGAGGTTGGTAGTTCAAGACCATCTTGGCCAACATGGTGAAACCCAGCCTCCACCAAAAATATAGATAGATAGATAGATAGATAGATAGATAGATAGATAGATATATTTATACATATATATACACACACATATATATACCCTGTATATATAAAGGGTATATGTATTTATACCATTTATATATAAAATACCCTGTATTTTAAAGGAGTCATTAAAGGATTTTAAGCAAGGCCAGATCAACTTTGTGTTTCATAAAAATAACTCTGAAAAAAAAAAACTCTGACTTCCCTGTGGTGAATGAATCACAGGGATATGAACCTGGAGGGCCACTTACAAGTCAGTTTCCTTTGTGTTTCTTCATGTTGGATAATGAGAATTGGATCAATCTGACATTTTGCTTTATTCATTTTTCATCCCACATATGCTGCTGCAGAGAGTGGCATGAGGGTCTAATGACTCAGGAGATGTTTGAAAGGTAGACGAATCCATCGCTGATGTGTTGCTCTGTTGATAGTCCAGTTTTCCTTATTACATTCTCTAGGGAGGCCCTCTGACTAATGTAAGCCATCAGCACTATTTCTGGAAGCATGGTAAACATTTTAATCTTTGTGGCCTGATCTCAATGGAAGACAGATAAACCAAATCTCCCTTCTGCCTGCAAAATAATCAATAACAAAGAAGAAAATGAAAAACACTTAAGCCAAGCTTCCTGAATGGATACTCCCAAGTAACACAGGAATGATTTTCCCTCAGAAATGTTATCTTGGGGATTCGAATCTTTTATATTGCAATGACAAATGGTTCAGAAGGGGGATTAGATGCAGAGTCACTGAGAACGATGGAGACTATAAGGTCACTGCTGAGGTGGACAAAAGTAAAAATGTTTCCTTAGAAAAGGTGAGTTAGTAGAAACACTGCTATTTGTGAAGTATCTAGGCTGGTAGGAACGGGAGCAATTCTTCTTGCATCGTGGCTGAGGTGGTCCTTTATTTGATAGTTGGTTTTGAGTGCCAGGCAGTGCTTCCTCACCTTCTATAAAACAAGGTATTAGCAAGTTTCTGAAATCCCACATAAGATGTTTCATTCATTTCATCGTAACTGTGTGGGAGTCACTGATGACCTCCCTGTTGCTTCTCAGACCTCGTCTTAGTTGACCTATCCTTGACACTCCTTCTTTTCAACAGTCTTTTTCCTTGACTTTTCTGACTCCATCCTTTTGTGGGTTTTTGCACCTCTCTCTAAGTGTCTTCTCTTTTCTTTTCTATTTTTTTTTTTTTTTTGAGACAGAATCTCACTCTGTCACCCAGGCTGGAGTGCACTTGTGTGACCTCAGCTCACTGCAACCTCCATCTCCCAGGTTCAGGTGATTCTCCTGCCTCAGCCTCCTGAGTAGCTGGCATTACAGGCACCCGCCATAGATATATATGTATCTATAGCCAGGCGTGATTTGGTTTATCTGTCTTCCATTGAGATCAGGCCACAAAGATTAAAATGTTTACCATGCTTCCAGAAATAGTGCTGATGGCTTACATTAGTCAGAGGGCCTCCCTAGAGAATGTAATAAGGAAAACTGGACTATCAACAGAGCAACACATCAGCGATGGATTCGTCTACCTTTCAAACATCTCCTGAGTCATTAGACCCTCATGCCACTCTCTGCAGCAGCATATGTGGGATGAAAAATGAATAAAGCAAAATGTCAGATTGATCCAATTCTCATTATCCAACATGAAGAAACACAAAGGAAACTGACTTGTAAGTGGCCCTCCAGGTTCATATCCCTGTGATTCATTCACCACAGGGAAGTCAGAGTTTTTTTTTTCAGAGTTATTTTTATGAAACACAAAGTTGATCTGGCCTTGCTTAAAATCCTTTAATGACTCCTTTAAAATACAAGGTAAGGGAAGAGTTATTTGTTGGGATAAGTAACAATAGCTAAACAATGCATGCCAATGATTATCCTAAGCTTTAAATATACCACCTCCTTAAACATTTTAAGGAACTTATGATGAGAAGATATAGAAATGGCCAGTGAGCACATAAGAAGATGCTCAATATCACTAATCAGTAGGGAGATATGTACTGAAACCACAATGTGATACTATCTCACACTCATTAGGATGGGGACTACAATTTTAAAAGCAAAAGAAAAGGTGTTAGGGAAGATATGAAGAAATTGGAACCCTTGTGCACTATTGATGGGAATGCAAACTGGTCAAACTGGTGTAGCCCCTATGGAAAACAGTATGGCATTTCTTCAAAAACAATGAAAAATAGAATTATTGTATGATCCAGCAATCCCACTACTGGGCTGTACACCCAAAAGAACTGAAAGCAGGGTCTTGAAGGTACATTTGTATATCTAAATTCATAGCAGCATTATTCACAGTAGCTAAAACATGGAAGCAACCCAGGTATCCACCAATGCACAAATGGATAGGCATAAGGCAGTATATCCATACAATGGAATGTAATTCAACTTTAAAAAGCAAATAAATCCTGACACATACTACAATATGAATAAACTTTGAGAACATTATGTTAAGTGAAAGAAGCCAGTCACAAAAGACAAATACTTGTATGATTCCCCTCATATGAGGTACTTAGAATAGTTCAAAATCATAGAGACAAGAAAGTAGAATGATGGTTGCCAGGCCCTGTGTGGGTGGGGGAGAAGAGGGATAGGAATTATCATTTAAAGGTCATAGACTTTTAGTTTTACAAGATAAAAAAAGTTATAAAGATGAATAGTGGTGATGGTTGCACAACATTGTCAATGTATTTAATACCACTGAAGGTATACTTAAAAAACTTAAGATGGTAAATTTTGTGATTTGCATTTTACCACAAAAAAAGTTAAAAACAAACAAACAAACAAACAAACTATGATGTGGTGTTTGTTAGTAACCAAATTTTTTTTTTTTTTTTTTTTTTTTGAGACAGAGTCTCGCCCTGTCGCCCAGGCTGGAGAGCAATGACGCGATCTCGGCTCACTGCAATCTCCGCCTCCCGGATTCAAACAATTCTCCTGCCTCAGCCTCCTGAGCAGCTGGGACTATAGGCGCCCGCCACCACAACCAGCTAATTTTTTGTAGTTTTAGTAGAGATGGGGTTTTGCCCTGTTAGCCAAGATGGCCTCGATCTCCTGACCTCGTGATCCGCCTGCCTCAACCTCCCAAAGGATTACAGGTGTGAGCCACTGTGCCCGGCTTTTTAAATTTATTTTTATTTATTTTTATTTTTTTTGAGGCAAGAGTCTCACTCTGTCGCCAGGCTGGAGTGCAGTGGCATGATCTCAGCTCACTGTAACCCCTGCCTCCCAGGTTCAAGTGATTCTCCCGCCTTGATCTCTTGACCTCGTAATCCGCCTGCCTCAGCCTCATCCTCCCAAAGCATTGGGATTTCAGGCATGAGCCACCATGCCTGGCCTAGTAACCACATTTTAGCAATCATTAATAACCTCATTTTACATGTGAGAAAACTGAGGTGTGTGGGTGTAATGTGTTCAAACACAGATAGGTATTAGGTGGTAAAGACAAATCTGAAACTCGGAGATGATTTTAGAGTCTAGGGCTCTTAACTACTAAAGATACTCCCATTGTGAGCTCAATCAATCTCCCCAGCATTGTCTTCCACACTGTATTCATTACATTTACAACTATACCAACATTCTAATAGCCTTACCTTTTCCCATAAAGCATAATAATAAAGAAAAAACAACGGCAAAAATATTACCCTGCTTTTCCGTTCCTCTGTGTGTTTAATACACTATCTTTTCTTACATTAAGGGAAAATTTTCCTTCCTCCTTATGCTCATAGAATAATTCTAAGTATCCTTCAAGCCTCAAGTACTCCAAGTCGCTTCAACTTACTACAGTCCATGAACCCAGAGTTCTCTCACGTGTCCTTATAACAGTTTTGCAACATAAGGACATGCATTAATCTAATTTGACAGGCAGAGCAACTGAGCATTAAAGAAGTCAACTACCCACCTGAATGTAGAAAATTTGTTAGCTGAGTCAAAATTCTATGCCTGGATTTCAAAACCCAAAACCAAAACCTTTTCATCATTATATTTTGCATAATCATGCTATTAGAGGCTGTTACTTGTCTCCAACTTGTCTGCCATTTGATGTCTTTGCATATTTCTACATATAAAGGATTTGTTTTGTATGTATTCTGATTATATATCACCTGAAATGCAGACTATTTTGACATATCTGTGGATTGAATTTTTAAAAATTCTTAATGACCTTTCTTTAAATATTATGATATTAATACGGCAACCACTGCATTTTTTATTGTATTGGGTTTATATGTCTTTCTACAACTTTTTACTTTCAATCCCTCTGAGCCAATAAATTTGGCTATGTTTTATAAATAATATATTTTGGTTTTATTTTTGACACAATCTAAGAATCTTCAAGTTATCTTTTTTATTCCACATATCTATTTCATATATTTTCTTAGCATAAAGTGCATATTTGTTGTAGAAAGTTTAGAAACATCAAAAAGTATAAAAAAAATTAACACATGTAATGTCATCAAGATATAATCATTACAAATATTTAATTGTTCTATACATTTGTATGTAACATATAATTAAAAGTGAACATTTAATTTTTTTTTATCTAGGTACTCTGCTAAGGGTCTTACACAGATTAAATCATTTGTACTCCACAACAGCCACATGTGCTAGATATTGTTAGTATTTTCATGTTAAAAGAAGACCCAGAAGCAAAAAGAGGTTCACAAATTTCCCAAAAGTAGACTTTGGATATAAACGCAAGGAGATCCATCTCCACGGACCACACTCTCATTACGCTGTAATATCTTCTCTCCTAATAGTCCAAGCAGAGAAAGATTAAATAGGTCAATGGATAGCTATGTGTGAGTGAAGGGAGATTCTCTCTGCATATTGTTTTGTTACCTGTTTCTCCACTTAAAATATAACATAACTTTCCTTATTAAATATCTTCCAACCATGACATAAGTGACCATGCTATTATATAATTGTGCCATCATTTCTTAATCAGTTTCCTGTAGTTTAACATTTTTTTTAAACTGTGCATAATGTCTACATTTTTATATGCTTGGGGATAAGCATACACCCATGAGACCATTACCACCATCAAAGCCATAAATATATCCATCGCCTCCTAAAATTTCCTCCTGCCCCCTTTTTTATTAGTGTGTGTGTATATGTGTGCGTGTGTGTGTGTTTGGTAAGAACAGTTAACATTATATCTACTCTCTTGGGAAATTTTAAGAATATAATAAGGTATTGTTAGCTATAGGCTCCATGTTAAAAGTAGATTTCCAGAGCTTATATATCCTGCAAAACTGACACTTTGTACCCTTCAATCATCACCTCCCCATTTCCCACTTCCTGCAGCCCCTGGCAACCACTACTCTACTCTCTGCTTCTGTGAGAGGGACTAGTTTAGAGTCCACACATAAGTGAGATCATATAGTATGTGTCTTTTCGTGTCTGCTTATTTCACTCAACATGACCCTCCAGGTCTATCTATGATGTCACAAATGGCAGGATTTCCTTCTTTTTAATGCTGAACAGTATTTCATTGCATGTATGGACTACGGTTTTTTTTTTTATCCATTCATCCATCAATGGACATTTAGGTTGTTTGCTGGCTATTTTGTATAGTGCAGATATCTCTTTGGGATCCCAGTTTCAATTTATTTGGACAGATACCCAGTAATGGAATTGCTGTATCATATGGTAATCCTATTTTTAGTTTTTTGAGAAACTTTCATGCTATTTTCCAAAGGGCTATGCCAAATTACATTCCTACTACCTGTGTACAAGGGTTCCCATTTTCTCCACCTCCTTGCCAATACTTATTTCTTTACTAATAACAACCCTGATACATAAAGTGATACTTCATTGTGTTGTGATTTGCATTTCCCTGACTATGTTGAACACCTTTTCATATCCCTATTGGCCATTTGTATGTCTTCTTCAGAGAAATATCTACTAAGGTTTTTTGCCCATTTTTCGTTTGGGTCATTTGGGTTTTTTGCTATACAGTTGTATGATTTTTTTATTTTGAATATTATTTGGATAGTAAAAACCCCTTATCAGACATGTGGTTTGCAAATATTTTCTCCCAACCTGCCAGTTGCCTTTTTGTTTTATTGATTGTTTGCTTTGCAGGGGCTTTTTAGGTTGATGTATTCCCACTTTATTGTTGCTTTTATTGCCTGTGATTTTTGTTGCTTTTTTTTTTTTTTTTTTTTTTTTTTCTCCAGTCAGAGTCTCACTCTGTTGCCCAGGCTGGAGTTCAGTGGCACAATCCTGACTAGCTGCAAGACTCTGCCTCCCAGGTTCAAGTGATTCTCCTGCCTCAGCCTCCCAAGTAGCTGGGATTACAGGCATGCACCACCATGCCAGGTAATATTTTGTATTTTTAGTAGAGACTGGGTTTTGCCATGTTGGCTAGGCTGGTCTCGATCTCCTGAGCTAAGGCAATCTGCCCACCTCAGCCTCCCAAAGTGCTAGGATTACAGGTGTGAGCCACTGCGCCCAGCCATGTTGCCTGTGATTTCTTTCTAAGGCCTTTACTTTGCCTTTTTCTCATTTAAGTATAATGAATGGGTCATTCTTTTAAAAAAGATATTCATAATTGGGTACAACCAGGTAAAGCAATTGCTTAATTCTACTGCTTCTTAAGAAGGTTCGTATTCCAAAAGTTACAGTTGCTTTTGCTTCATTGTTTTTAGTCTTTTATAATTTAATAACACATTATTCTGCAAGTTCGGGGTTTTGTTTGTTGGCTTTTTTGTCTGTGTCTGTTTTTGCTTTGGGTTGATAAATCTCCATTTTAGTGTTCTCACCTGAGAAACTCATGCAGCCCAGGCCCACCTTCACACACCCTCCCTCCCCATTCTCCAGCTCCGACCCCCAATCCTGTGGAATTTTATTGGTCTTAAGGATATACACCTCCTGACTCATAGCCAAGCCTCACAGTAAAGCTGCTAAGAGGTTGTCAGGGGCACTCATCTACCAGCACAAGCTAAGAGTGATCACATTGTCCTCAACCATCTCTCCACCCTGAAGAAATCCACCAATTCCAAAAAGACAATTCCACTGGAGGAAGTCATACTCCAAGAACTTCTGTTTTTATTCTATTGTTGATGCTGTTATCTTTTTCGCTGTATGTCTTTTTGTTTTTGTTAAGATGGAGCCTTGCTCTGTCGCCCAGGCTGATGTTCAGTGGCACAATCTCAGCTCACTCCAACCCCTACCTCCGAGGTTCAAGCAATTCTCCTGCCTCAGACTCTTGAGTAGCTGGGGTTACAGGCACGTGCCACCGCTGTATTTTTAGTAGAGGCGGGGTTTCACCATGTTGTCCAGGCTGGTCTTGAACTCCTGACTTCAAGTGATCTGCCTGCCTCGGCCTCCCAAAGTGCTGGGATTACAGGCATGAGCCAAAGCACCCGCCCCCTTTTTCACTGTATGTCTATTTCCAGTTACTGATTCACAGAAGAAAAGCTTGGTCAACATTTTTGTAATCAGTAGCTCACCTATTTATTTTCTTTTATCCCGATCACAATTTTCATCACCTTACTTGATTTCCTCATTTCTTACCAGTTTTCCAAACTCTGCCTTTTGTCCACACACCCATTGACACCTTTTAAAAATCAACATCTAGGCTTGGCATGGTGGCTCACACCTGTAATCCCAATACTTTGGGAGGCTGAGGCAGGAGGATCACTTGAGCCTAGGAGACCAGCCTGGGCAACATGGTGAAACCCTGTCTCTACAAAAAATAAAAATAAAAAAATTAGCAGGACATGATGGTAGTCCCAGCTACATGGGAGGCTGAGGGGGAGGATCACCTGAGCCTAGGAGTTTGAGACTGCACCAAACCATCATCATGCCACTGTACTCCAGCCTAAGCAACAGAGTCAGACTTTGTCTCAAAAAGGAAAAAAAAATAACGTCTAGAATTGTTAAACTACTTATGTATTATTAATTTTTTGATATAAGCATTTACTTTTCATCTTTGAATGAGGCTATGTCTAGCCTGTCCTGGCATTTACCCTCAAAGGATTATAAGTAGCTTCTGTTTCTCCATCCTATTCCTTTAGTTTATGTTAGAATTCTCTGTCTTTGTCTGGAGGTTGGATGATGTCGGCTTACTTAAAGTTTTCTGATCCATGACCTAGCAGTATGAAGAAGACAGAAAGAGAACTGATGCTAAGGACAGTCCCAGCAGATAAGTTTTGTCTCTACACAGCTTCTTCTCTGTGTTTACTGAAAATATTATATAGCAAGTAGGTTTTGTGTATCTACCATCTCTTCAGCCAAGCCTCCATCTTGGGTACACTCTGCAGCTTGACTGGTGACTGCCTATCCCATCGGAAGAAAGCATTGTAGTGTCCAAGAAGGGTCCCTACAGCAAGAAAATGAGCTGTGGAATATTCTGGAAAAAACTAAGTCAGGGGAAATGCTAGAAGTTCTATTTAGTTTTGCAGCTTTACCCAGAGCCTCCAAGTGTAGCCACCTCTGGATCTGAAAGCCATTTCACATGGAGCCATCTGTTTCTCTCTCTCTCTCTCTCTCTCTCCCACTCCCTTCCCCTCTCTCTCTCTCTCTCCCCTTCCCTTTCTCCCATACCCTACCCACAATTCTATACTTTACCAATACTGTAGCTCCTTGTGACTTTTCCATTTTCCATGGAAGGCAATTATGAGCTAGGCTTTTCGATTGCTTTCACACTGGTTCCATCCAATGGAGAACCAACAGACTTGTTTTTGAGGCAATGAATGGCACCCCTTCTTAGTTTCCATCACTGATTCTGACTTTCTTCTATTTTTGCATTTCTTTGTTCATTTCAGCCAATTCTGATGGTAGTAGAAGGGGTGGCCAGTGCTGGTGCCCTCACCGCCAGCCTTCCCAGAACTCTCACAGTGTGTGCTCCTTTTGATTTAGATAATCCGTGCCCTTTGGAGTAAATCTGACTTGACCATTCTGCTGACTAAGACACTCTGGTCTTCCTAACCCTTACAAAGAAGGCTCTATTTTAAAAGATGATGCTACTGACATGTATCATTATTTAATAATGTATATTTGAAAATGTAATTGCCCAAATATTACCTTCTCAGAGACACAGAGGTCAGGATCTCCCTGAGACAGAAAGTTTATCCAAAGAAAATGAAGATTTGATTAAAATGGAACATAGAAGTTCTCTTGAAACTGTTTTCCCACTGCCGTGGGAATAGAAATTTGTCAATGCCCTCTGAAAGGTTTTGTTCAGACTCAGCCACTATTATCAGAATATTTTGTTTCTATCTATAAGACATTCTGCACATTCCTTCTATAATATAGGGAATGATAACAAGTCCTAATATCTTCTTTCTCTTTGGTGAGTTACTAAGAAACCTGTGAAGCTGTGTAAGATTTTTCATCACTAAATAAACCTAAAATAGGACCAAAGCCTCAGGGTCCCTGAGCACAGAGAATGAAAAGAGCATAAGTTTCACGGCTCAGGAAGGTTCTCAACGAGACCTTTGTAGTAGGCACTGAGACTCCCTGCCTGCCAGCTCTATGCATTTGAAGACTAAAGGGTCTTCACTTTTCTCCAAACCAGTGCAACAAACAACATAACTTCTGCCAGGCACAAACATCCATATGGACTCACATTTTGGTCTGATCCTGCTGGTATTTGACTTCTCGCAACTGCCACCATATGTCCACTAATCTAAACGTGTCAATTTCATATTTGATCATCATTTTACACCTCTAACTCGGTGCATCCCACACATTTAGTAGGCATATGGATCACTTGGGATCCTGTTAAAATGCAGATTCTGATTCAGTAGGCCTGGTGTGAGGCCCGAGAGTCCACATTTCTATCAGATCCCCAGATCATGCCAAGGCTGCTGGTGTAGAGACCACGTTTTGAATAGAAAGTTTTTGTTCACGTGTGTTAATTTCTTATCTCACTGGGCTTTCATTGTTAATTCTAAACTTATGTTTTAATTAATAAACTTAATTTTCAAAGTCCTTCTCAATAGGTAAGATAATTTTCTTCCTCTGGCTTCTTTCAAGATTTTTTTATTTTTGACTTTCTAAAGTTTGAATACAATATGCCTAGGTGTATGTTTTTGTCATTTATCTTGCTTGGTGTTCTTTGAGCTTCTTGGACCTGTTTGGTGTCTGACATTAATGTGGGGAAACTGTCAGTCATTATTGCTTCAATTTTTTTTTTTTTTTGAGACAGAGTCTTGCTCTGCTGCCCAGGCTGAAGTGCAGTGGCATGAATTCGGCTCACTCCAACCTCTGCCTCCAGGATTCAAGCAATTTCTGGCTAATTTTTGTATTTTTGGTAGAGGAGGGATTTTACCATGTTGGCCAGGCTGGTCTCGAACTCCTGACCTCAACCGATCCGCCCGCCTTGGCCCCCCAAAGTGGTAGGATTACAGATGTGAGCCACCATGGCCAGCCTTCGAATATTATTTCTGCTCCTGTGTCTCATCAGAGAATCTTTCTCCAGTGTCCACTGTGCATACCAGGTGTAGCTCCTGAAAGGAAATCTCGCAAAAGTTTAGGGTTTCTCTATGACTGGACCCCCTGTGGAGTGTTTAAGTTTTGAACTTGTCCACTGATGTCACTTCTCTGATGCACCTAAAAAGAGTGGTTCATTTTTCAGTTTGTCCCGCTTTTTACTTGTAGCTAGGATGGAATGGCAACTTCTAAGCTCCTTACATGCCGACTGAAAACTGGAAGTCTAAACTTATTTTTTATCCATTATTTTTAAAAGCTTCATGCTAATCTCTACTTCGGAGCAACCTGACGTTTAGAAAGTGGGACACAATAGGGTGGAACCAACTTTTCGAGCAGCGCTTCTCAAACTGTGTGCAGTAAAGTACTATTATTTCCCCAATCTATCACAGATGGATGTTTTCTAAAATACCATAAAAGTTAATTAGAAAAATTATAAGGCAAACATGTAAGATACAAACATTTATTATATTCAACAAACATTCTATTGCTCTATCAAGTACTATAAAAGCTTCTAAATGCTTAATCACAATTTTTTTATTATTTCTTTCAAATCTGTGTAAATTATAAGATACGGGGATTTTTAAATGTGGGTACTTGCTAATAACCTACTCTCCAGGTTCAATCTCATTCTGAACTCCAGAACTATAATGATTTTCATTATTTGTGGTAGTTATGGTATATAAAGTCACCATAACCACTGAATTAGCAAGTACTGAATTTTTGCTCCTGAGGAAAATATAGAGTTAGGTTCCTCTGAGCCTCTGGTAACAACATTTTAATCTACTTATCTATATATAACTTTGTTTTACATGTGTTTTTTTTTTAAAGACTCTTAATTGTACATAGATTGTTAATTAACATCAAACTTATGCCCACTAACACTATAATTTATGCCTGAATGAAACTTATGTAACACAAATATTTTCCATAAGGCACATCACAGCCTGATCACATTTAGGGACAACATACAGCACTTGCAGTCCATTTGGGGTCCCTTTAGACAGAACAATCTCCACACAAAAAGCACAAGCATGGAAAAAACATGGTGCTAAATAGACTTCAAAGAAGACAGCTGTTTACAGTATGAGAGTTGAATCAAGGAGACAGAGTATTGCCTTGCTCAATCTCAGCTGGGAACTAGGCCTTATGTACTAAGCTGTGCAAATTATCTACTCTTCTGAACATGTCCATGAATGATTATGAATGTACTGAAAGTATTAACTTGGGAATTACAGATGAATTTTATTGATTAGTCAAATTCAGAAATATAAAATCTATAAATAATTAGGATTGACTGTGTGTATGTGTGTGAACATGTACACAATATCTCCCTTTGGAAGTTTAAAAGGACTCTCAACTTTACCATATGCAAGACAGAACACTGATTTTCCCACCAAAACTCTTTGTCCTATGGATTTTCCCATCTCAGTACATGACAATTTTTACTGTTGCCAGGACCAAAACACCTTAAGAGTTTCTTCTCTCACCCTGAGTATATCCAAAGTCTGATCACTGCTCACACACCCATCTGGTCCAAGCACAATGACCCCTTTGCCTGTTTTATTACAATAGCTTCCCAAATGGCCTATCTTCTATTAAGGAGACAGAATTTTCTTTAGACAATTATTTCATGTTTCCAAAACACTTTTATTATTTTTTTAACATGTTAACATTTCTGAAATCAGGAGGAGAATTACAAACAACAATTAAGAAAGTTTTGGGCCATAGTTTAAATGACAATATTTTTTCCAGGAGTAAATAAAATAATGTCAGGCCTTACATTTTAAGGTATCTCAGATGCAATGATAAACAGTAGGATAAATTACATTGCTTCACTATGAAAAGGTCCCAATGGCTTCCCACCTCATTCAGAGTAAAGTTTTTATTGAGACCTGCAAGGTCTTGCCCGATTCCCTGTCTCCCAACTTCTCCCATCTCATCCCTAACCGCTCCCCAACTTGGCCACGTGACTCCATCCACTCTGGTCTTTTTGTTCCTGCTTCAAGGCCTTAACCCTTGCTCTTTCTGCCACTTGTATGTCTCCTAGCTGTTCCCTCACTTATTTATCTGTCGTCAGTCCTGCCTTCTCAATGAGGTCTTCTCTAACCCCATCCCCTCTGAAATTACCACACCCCCTGACACTCTTCTCTACTTTATTTTTCAACTTAGAACTTCATACTAACTGATACAGCATACATGTTTACTGCTTCCTCCCCCAACCACAATGCAAGCCTTTTAAATCTGAGCTGTGACTTCTAGAGGATTGAGAAAAGGTAAACTTCAGTGAGTTAAAACTATATTATCAATTAAGTTTGCAAGCTGGGTGCCTTCTTCTCCAGGCTCCTGAGAGCTTATTATTTAGGAAATTGAGTAAAAGTTATATGTGGAATAAAGAACTATCCCCAAACCTGAAAATAGGCAGCGTGCTCTTGGAGGGTCCATTCTGACAGTGTTCACTTTACCACACCAGGGTTTTTTTGTTACAAAAATCATTGACCTTAATTACTCACAGTCTTTCTTCTCCTCTCACTGCTTAATATGATAACTCTATTGGCCTGCTTGTTCATACTCATGAACTTGGTATTGAAGGCCTTGAACAATTGGGCTCCAGGCTTTCTTTCTGTTTCTCCATTCAGTAGCCTTCCTTAAAAATCACAGGTCCCTCAAACTGGCTCATCCACAACTCTCTGCTTTTCCCTCCCTCTATACTTTTATTAGCAAGGGCACACTGACTCATAAGGTCCTTGCCTGTCTTCCCCACTCATGCTAAGCCCATCCACACTCCATCTCTGCAAACATCTCCCAGACGATTCTTGCTTGAAGTTAGAGCCACTGTGCATCTGAGTTTGGAGCAAAATTGTTGCTTGAGCAACTCATTGACTATTATGCATTGTGACATTGATTTTATTGTTGTCTTGAATTATTCAAGGACTTTACTGTTACTTAACTTACCATCTTTTTTTGAATGCCCTTGGCACTTAGACAGCCCTTAAATATAGTAGGCTCTCACCAAATATGAAACGAGTTGAAGATCATAACTTTTAGAAGGTAAGTCAATTGATTAGCATACTAAACAGCATTAGCATTATGTAAGTTTTGTCTTGTCTGACTTTCTACTATTTATTTTGTCTGGTATCTCCAAACTGTTAACAAGAAAGGGTTAGACCTTCTCAAAAATCAATTAGAATAGTTACTCTGAGATAATGTTTGTTCTCAAAATCATATTGTAACTATCACCTCTTTGCCAGTTTGACATAAAGTAGGAAAACAGAGAAACATCTACAACATCCAAAAAGTTTAATGGCTTTTCTGTTGGGGCTAGCTGGCATAAACAATTTATTTCACAAGTCAACTACCAAAGAAATTAAAGCAAATGGCCCCCAAAGTACAGAGGTTTTACTTTTATATATGCTGTTTAGAGTGTATAAAAAAAGAGTTATTCTTAGAAATCATTTTGAGTTAACTAAGTATGTCATGTCAGACTAATTGCATTTTCTTATTATTGGACTTCCAAACTGTAAACTCAGGGAAATTTCATCAGCATAATAAAAAAAAAAAAAGATTTTTGAAAAAGGCATTGACATGTTCCTTTATGATATCTTTGTGGAAAAAATTAGAAATATATGCAATGCACTCAAGTTTTATCATACTCATAATTAACTTACTCAAACACAACACTAGGCAAAAGGGAAAAAAATAAATTTAATAGTGACAGGTGGAGAGGAAGAGCAATTAGCAGAATGTGCACATTACCCAGGGTCATGGTCTCATCTTTCATTATATATTTGACATACTTATTACTGTATAGGATTTAACATACAAATTCCTGTATATAAGTCTTTCACATTATTTAATGATATTCAAGAACAATTTTGACTACACATGAATTTTCCCCTAACATTATACAAGATGAAACTGTCCCGAAGTTAACAGATGTTTGAATATTTCTATTAGAAGACAATTCTCTCTGCATCTCTGGCACTTTTTCAGGCTGTGGGTGTTTTGAGCAAAGACATTTACAGCCAACTGGACAATGATTATATAAGAAGATACTCCAGGAGAGTGAAACTTCCCTTCTTTCCCTGGAGTAGATTTGTTTATATTCCAGAGCAATAAAGATAGAGTCTGGAGGGGATGATGGACATATTTGCTAAGAGTCCTTTATAAAATGAGGAGTTTCCTAAACTGAGTTTCCCTCAGGTGGGATACAGATATACTGTGTATAGCATCCTACCCTGGCCCACTCGAAAGCACCCTCAGGGAGATGAGGGAGGCAAGGAGAACTGCTCTGAACAAAAAGCTCCTGCTGCTTGCTGCACCAAGGACAATACACCACCTATATCCACTAGGGCTGATTGTTTCCTCACCAATAGAATCTATAGAAATGTGGCACACAAACCTAGCAACTGCGGGCTGCTTAGGGACTACTTCACCACTTGGCAATTTGTAGTCAAACCAGATACAAAATATTTTATTAGCATTTCACAGTTAACCAAAATGTTAGTCTTAATTACCCTGCAGTTGCTTAATAACATTTTGGCAAACACTTCAATTATTACCAAGAAGTAATATTAAAGAGTTTGAGAGTGGCAAGAACTGAAAAGGAGAATTAACATTATGGGTAACGAATTTAAAAAAGACTCTATATGATAGGATAATGGTGCAAAATAAAATGGACATTCATAAAAATAAATATAAAGTCCTAAACTTTAGTTTAAAACAGTTTCCCAGAGCAGAAGAGGAGTTCAAATTAGCAAGTCACATGGGGGAAATAAGAGAAAAATAAAAACACATAGGGAACTTACATTTCCAAACATAAGAGTAAAACAATCAACAATTTCCCTCCTGCTAAAAACAACTGAAACATTGCCCAAAACATAGAAGATGACTATTTTCAGACATTGGACAACAGGCAGTGGAGGACAGTGATCCTAACAAAACAGAAAAATAGTTCCTGCCTAAGGTAATACTGAATGTGGGCAAGGAGATTTCAAAATAACAGAGTCTAACAATCTCCCAGAGTTTATATTCCAGACCAATAAAGGTAGAAGTTGGCGTTTGGAAAAGCAGAGGCAGAAGAATGGGTAACACAGATAAAAGATTCCAGAAATCTGCATAGGGGTCTCCTTGAGTCTTTGGTTGAAGATCATTCAATGCATGTATAAGGTAAAACCCAACAAGCATAGACCAGAACAGCTTTCAAGGGAAGAACTATTACAAGGAAGCTGTAAGTCTAACAACTGCCAGAGGTCACCTAAAACTGACAATCTCTTGTGTTTCCTCTAACAGGTGTGGAGACATCCTCTCTAAACGATGGGCTATTCAGTAGGGACCCTAGAAAGACCAAACCTTTAAAAAAAAAATCTAAATTTTCTCTAGAATAATGGCCACTCTAGACCTACCCAAAAAAAAAGAGGTTAAAACAACTCTCAAAAGGCTCAAAGTAATGCACATGCAATTTAACTGACTGCAACAAAATAAAAGGTCAATATTCTTTAAAGATGCACAACAAAATCTAACATTTAACAATGTAAAATATACAGCAGTCAATCAAAAACTAACATATATAGAGAAAACAGAAAATGTGTTTCATTATCAATAGAAACAAACTCAGAAATAATAAGATGATGGAATAGGCAGAAGTGGACATTAAAACAGTAATTATAAATGCATTCTATATACTCAAAATATATAAGAAAACATGAATGTGATAAGGTAGGAAATGTAGAAAATTTCCAAATCAAATTTATATTGATAAAAAATACAAGCTTTAAAATGAAAATACATGACAAAGGATTAACAACCAATTAAACATTGTATAAAAAGATCCAAGAACTTAAAGATATAGCAATAGACGCTATCCAAATGGATGCACAATCAAGGAAATAACTTGAAGCCTCAGGGACTATGGAACAAAATCAAGTGATTTCATGTATGTATCACAGTCCTAGAAAAGAGGAGAGAAGAAAATATTTAAGTAATGGCCAAAATTTTCTGAAATCACATGAAAATTGTAAAAACAGAAAAGATAATTATACCAATAAAAGAATCACATACCTGCAGACAAACTGGAGCAATGTTATTTTTTAAGGGTTTTTTTACCTCCTTATTCTTAGATTATTACTGTATTAGGGAAGAAATAAGACAATTTTGTGGAGGCTTTTTCTAAAGTCCAATAGTCTTTGAACAGATTTTAGATTCTCAGAATAAATGTTTTTGACAAATAAAATATTTGAGATCTAAGGCTTGACAGAGTTCTTGACATGACATCAGAAGCATAATCCATAATAGAAAAAAATTAATAAAATGGGCTTCATCCAAATTAGCTTTTATCATGAGAAAATCCTTGTTAAGAGGATGAAAAGACCAGCTACAGACAGAGAAAACATTTGCAAACTACAACTCAATTCAAAGAACCCATATGTAGAATATATTTTTAAATTCTAAAAATGCAACAGGAAAAAAAGAAATCAGTCCAATTAGAAACTGGGAAAAAGATATCAACATTTCACTAAGAGAATATACAGATGGAAAATAAAAACATGAAATGATATTCAGAATCATTAGTCATTAGGGAAATGCAAATTAAGACCACATGGAGAGTATGCAAAGGATACATATATTCTCATACCTTCCTGTGTGAAAGTAAAATGATGTAGCCGCTCTGGAAAACAATTTGACAGTTTCTTTAAAACAACTAGATATACACTCACCATGTAATCCAAGAAAATTTACATTTACACAAAAACCTGTACACAAATTTCATAGCAACTTTATTTGTATTAAATAATAGCCCCAAACTGGAAATACCCAAAATGTTCTTCAACAGATTAATGGTTGAATAAACTAATTAAAATTGTTAAAATGATAAATTTTATATTATGTGTATTTTACCACAACTTTTTAAAAATGAAGGGGAAATAAACACTTTTTCAGACAAACAAAATCTGAAACTATTGATCAGCAGCATACCTTCACTATAAGAAATATTACGGAAAGTTAAGGCAGATGGAAAATAGTTGGATATTGGATATACACAAAATAGAGAATGCTGGCGAAAGTAAACATATATATTATGTATAAAAATAAAAGACATTTTATCATTTTTAGTCTCCACAAAAGATATTTGATTGTTTCAAATAAAAATAATGGCAATGTGTTTTGAGGTTTATAGCACATACAGAAGTAAAATGTGCTATAAATGTGAAAATAGCATAAAGGACAGGAGGGAAGAATTGGGTGTGTTCTGCTGTACATTTCTTACACCATATGTGAAGTGGAATAGCATTGCTTGAAAGTTAAACCCTACCTTTCAAGTGCCAAAAAATAAAGCAAGGTAGAGATAATAAACGAGTCTTTTTTTAAAAAAACTAAATCCAAAAGAAGGAGGGGAAGGAAGGAAAAGCAGATGGGAGAAATAGACAAGAAATAGCAAGATGGTAGGTTTAAATTAGACCATGTTGATAATTACATTAAACATGCCTTATTTCAGATTATGTCTTCCCAGAAACAGATGTCAAGTTGGAATTAGGATGAGCAAGAGATTTATTGGGGGAAATGTGTGTGAAGGAGCAAGGGAAGACAATTGGATAGGTGGGAGAAGCTTTTGATTACAATGTAGGCCTGCCATCTGTCAAAGAAGAGAAAGAAGAAAGGAGAATTGAGTATGAAGAGCCTCAGACTATCACACACTTCTCAGACTATCACAGCCAGGCTAATGGAGGCTCACTGAGGAAAGGTTGCTCATTAGAAGCAGAAATTTCCCAATTCTCATAACCCCATCATGCTGGGAACAGTGTGAGCTCCATGTTGCATCTGAAGGTATAGCTGGAAGTGACTGACTACCTATGCTCCCTACAGAAGATTTGCTTGAACAGAGATTGAGCAGCAAATCTCCATGGCCACCATAGCCCAGCTTTGCTCTGCACAGATCCACACCTCCACACATGCCATGGTTCCACTGACCTTCTTTCCTTTGGGTAAACTTAGCGAGATAAACTATAGTCCCTGTTGTTGCAGTTGGTCTTAGGTCCACAATTGATACCCATCATCTCCTCCATCATTCACTCTAAATTTCCCTCCTCTCAGCTAATGCCTATGCAGGTCATTTCTAAGGATCTGAGTCCCTGGTAATCTTACCATCCTCAGGGGTTGCTGCACATGTTCATTCATAGTTATGATTCGGCAAGGAAGCACTAGGAGGCATCCAAGCATATAGCCTGGGTGCCACAGCTATTTCTTCCTACCTCCATTGTGTAAAAGCAGACCTGCCTCTTCCTACTGTCAGGATCAATCACCCCTTCCAAGATTATTACTCTTCTTTTTACCTGGCCCTTATATAAAGGAATCCAATATGCCCTGGCAGCATATATAGCATGTAGTTCAATAAGATCCTCTTGCATACTTTAGCAAGAGTATGGCTTGTTTGGGGTGCCAAGGTCTCCAATCTTGCAGAACCCACAGTTGCAGGGATGGGAAGCAGAGACTCTTCCAACAGGACATTAGATTTCATTCAATGTTTCTCTAAACTTAAAACTGCTTAAAAAAATAAAGTCTATTAATTTTAAATGTGGAGGGGAGGAGTCAGGTCATGTCGCTCCTTTGCTCAAAATTTTAGTCACTGCCTATGTTATTCAGAATCTCAGCCAAAGATTTCTATAAGGCCTACAAGGCCTCCTTTCCATTATCCCTATGACTTAATCTGCTAGTAATTTATCTCTTACTATGGTGCTCCAAGCAGACTTCTAGACTAGGACCTTTGCACTGCCTGGAATGCACTTCACTTAGATATTCCCATGGTGAATTCCTTCATCTCCTTCAAATCATTGCTCTAAATAATACATATAACATGTAACCTATACAAAACAAATAAAAAGTTCTTGTAATCTGTCAAATACCTCAACTGTAAGAAAATGGGCATAGGATTTGAATAAGCTCTTCCCAAATGGGATACCCAAACAGCTCCTATAAAAGGAGACATGATCAACTCATTAGTTGATCCAAATCCAAATTAAGGACACAATGAAAAACCACTAAATACTCATTAGATTGGCCAAAATTGCAGTATCTGATAGTTTCAAGTTTTAGTAATAGAGTAATTGGAACTCTCTTGTGGGAGTGAATATTGGTACAAATACTGTGGAAATAGTTTGGCACTATCTGGGAAATTTAAACTATGCATGCCCTGCCATGTAACAGTTTACACCTAAATATACACTCTGGAGAAACTCTAGTACATAGCCAGGAGATAGAGATATATTCATAGCAGTATTATTCAAAATAGCTCTAAAACTGGAAATAATCCAAGGGCATCAAGATAGAATCAATACAGAAATTAAATATTAATATTATACATCTATAAACATACATAAACTATAAATACACCCATCAACATAAATGAATCTTACAAATATCCCATTGAATGAAAGTAGCAATCACAGAAGAAAAACATTTTATGATTTATTTGTGTACATTTCAAAGACAAAATGAAATTAAAATTTTTAGTGGGCAAACTATTGAAAAGATAAAATCTATAGCGATACGCAGGGACTTATGGTAAATTTCATTGGTTGATGTTGCATCAGGAGAGGGAAGATTCTGTTCGGACTGTAGAGAACAACAATAGCAGATTTCTACTTGGTCTGAGTGGTTCACGATGCTTGCTTTGTAATTATTTTTTAAACTGTACATGAGTTTTATCTACTCTTCTGTATGTGTAAAATATTTCACAAGAAGTAAAACAAACCAATTTCAAAAGGGCAAATTGATGATGGATCTAAAGCCACAGCCAGCAATGTGAATGGAAGATGCACTCACAGAATTAAGGAAACACCTTGTTATTTTTTTCTTCACATTTCACACAGCTTTGGCTTACATTAAGTGCTAATTATCTACTGTTTGTGTTGCCGCCTATGCATTTTAATAGCTGTTCACTGATCTGGTCTGACCTTCTGCTTAGCAATTTTGAATAGTCAGCAGGAGGCATTAAATTGCATCAAGACACAATGCATTATGTAATGTTGTAAAAACTAAGATAAAATAATGTTATAGCTTGCAAAGCAGGAAAATGTAAATTAGACCCCTTGAACGTAAGGCATCCCTTTAATTGGAACAGAAATATCACACAATTCAAGTGCAATGGTCTTGGGGGACAAAAGACTAAGAACATCTTGCTTTTTCCTGTTCCCAGGATTCTGAGCTAAAATTCCTTTAATCTTTTTTTTACTTTTGAATTTCAATTCTGAGCAGAGCTAGCACACAACTTGGCAAATTGGTGTTAGAAAGACTGTTGCCAAGGTTATTTCCCAAGCAGGTAGGGTAGAATTGTTTGAGGAATAAACTAAGGTCAAGCCAGGATTTGAAAGCAAATCTATTTTCAGAAACTTTATTGTCAACTGTCATGTCAGATGACCTACCTAAAAGTGCTTTGTGTGGAACGAGCCTTTGGAACCAGCTATTCTAACTCCTTCTGAGGTTATATCAAAGTTTCACAAATCTGATTTTGGGTGTAATTGCAACTATAGAAGTTGTATGAAATCTGCCATCCCTAATCAAATCAAAAATAAAATAGAAATAGTGTCAACAATATAATCAAATTTCTGTTGAAATATTTCTGTAGGTACAAGTCAAGAAATGAAATGTAGTGTGATATCATGGAAAGCTCCCTGGATCTGAGTTCAAAGACTTTATAAATTATGTAATCATCAGTAAGTCATGCAATCTCATACATAATTTTTTCTAATCTGAAAAATATAACACCTGTCAAGCCAAACTCATGTTGGATGAACCAAATAAGATGGGGAATATGGAAATGGTCTGTAAATCTTAAATCATCCTGCAAATATTTTACTACTATTACACAAGCCAAATAAAGAAGATGCTCAAAGTTTCTGCTCACTAAAGTTATCGGATATTATATTTAACTAATGGCAACTCTCTTCCCAATTACATAAGGCAGCTCATTTCACCAGGTTTAATTGCACCATTCCATTAATCTTCATCTGTAAAATTTGTAACTCCATGGAGATCCACTTTATAGAAGTGTGGCTAGGAAAAATGAATAGTGAGGCAAATGACACAGAGCACGGGACCAAGCATTGGGTTTTTATTTTCTTCTGTGGGACCACAAGTTAGAACAGATGATTGTTCACGACTTATCTATTCCAAAGTTTAACATAAAGAGTGCATGGAGGGAAGAGTCCTGCTGAGTATCCAGCCCAGAACATATGCTTTTGAGTTTTCTATAATATTGAGGGGCTGGCTCCAACCCAACTCTCACTAGGTCCTCCAGCATGAATTCATTTTCAAGTTGGGTCCACCAGCATATGCGGTTGCAGACTATGGAAACAAAACAAAGTTCTTCCTTGTGTAAAGTGAACTGAATCATGAATCATATGGGGTCTGAATCTGTGACCTTGGCCTCATTTGCTGTGTTCTAACTAGGTGAGGGAACAGGCCCAGATGGTGACAAGACGTAGAGTACTTTGGAGAAGTCCTTCTGTACTTATCATAGATCAGTGATGACTTCTGTAAACTGAATCTTTTGATGGCATGTGCCATTTCACCCCTAGGTACTTAGTGCATGGTTCTGCGGAAGCAATAAGAGGGAGACAGATGGTCAAGCTGGAGGGAATCAAAAAGAGAACAAACATAAAGGGAAGAAAAAAATGCTTAAAGGAAAAGATTGGGATTCTGGACAATGCCCAGAAATATGAAATATAAGAGAAAGCTTATAAATCTCAATGCCTGAGAAACTTAAGCATAGACCTTAGCTGCTGCAGTACAAAGCTTAGCAATCAAAATGAAATATCCCCCAATTCAACAAAGCACATTATCATCAAAACAAAATATACTACACAATTGGATTGGTAAATATTAATGAAAGGACTCCAACTATGAAATACATGAAGGTGGAAGAAAATGATACTGAACCTATGAACACTTGAGAAGAATTCCAAAGTTAGAGGAATCAAGGGCAAAACTACTGGCTGGGGATATTTCGAGCAGGAGAACAGAGCTCTTTCAACCCTTGTTACTAAGGAAACTGTAGATCCAGTCTAAAAATAGCTCCTTACTATTAGCCCCAACAGAAATGAGGTTCTGTATCAACACTGCAGTTCTGCACGCTGCTGAAAGAAATTTAATTCTAACCATTTATTTCTCTTTCTTTTTTGGGGAAAGCAAGAAAGAAAAAACACCACAGGAAAGAAAATGAAAGAAAAAGTTGATAGCTCACAGCATAGCTCAAGAACTGCAGTGCTTCTATTTTAGAGGAGTTGTTCCTTAAACTCCTGCTGCTATGGAAATAATGTGTAGTTGCTCCCAGTGTTCAACTAGGTAGGTGGTCAGTTCTGATACTTTGGGGTTGGCATCTAATGCCTGCCTTCTATGGGTCTATGAAGAAAGGATTAATACAGTAATCTAGTATCTTTTCTTTTATAGGAAGGCCTAATTTCCTCACAAGGGTTCTTTCACCCAAAACATTCACATATAATATAAATTATTTTAAAAATTTGTCAATATTCTTATTGCCTTACTCTCTCTATTGTAAACTCCTTCTCCCACACATCAGCATTTTTGCCTCATTTCCCTATCTGTTTCTGTTCTCTTTTGAACTTGTTTTTACTAAATAAATAAGTAATTTGAGAACATCAGTTTATTTCAATAGAGGTAAATATCAGTATGGGAAAAAATGAAAGTAATACAACTTTCCATTCCAGCAGGTAGTTTCATCAAAATTGCTGCATTTAGAACCTCCAAGTCTAATTTTGGTAAATGTATGGATAAGGGAAAGCTGATTTCGATATCTTCCCCCTCTCTTCCTGTGGAACTCTCCTACAAAGGAATTTTTTTGACAATGCCTTGAAACCCATAGGACCAGCTCACCCGAGCATATATAGGGTGCCATGCCCTGTGTTCTTCTTTTCCTCTCTCAGATAAAAATTGAATTGTTTCCTCAAATTAATCTATAAATTTAATGCAAGCCAAGGCCCATAAGAATTGATAAACAGATTATAAAACTCAGCTGGAGGAGTGAATATGTAAGGATAGCCAACAAAATTTTAAAAGAAGACTAATGACACACAAGAAAATCAAAGGGACACAGAAGAGAAGTCATATGTAACTATATATTTACATACATGTATGTATACAAATTTAAAATGTGATAAAGTGACTTTTAAAGCAGTGAAAAAAGTTATTGAACAACGGGCTATTCATCTATCAAAATAAGAGATTCCCTACCACACACTTTATACAAAATTAAACTGAAATTAAATGATTGAATAATCAAGTTCTAAAAATAAAAATTTGGAAAAATACTATAATAAAATATAGGAGACTAACTTTATAAACTTCAGGTGGGGTGGTAAAGAAGAAACCTATGCAAGCCATAAACCCAGAATTCTCAAAAGAAAATATGACCAGCTGTGTGAATTTAAAAATCATCAACATAGCAAAAGATACTTGAAATCAATAGTAAGCTACAGCCTGAGATAAAATGGTAAAGAGCTATAACAAATAATATGCTAATGTCCATTATATAAAACCTAAAAACTAATAAGAGAAAATAACTTAGTAGAAAAAATAGCCAAAGGACATGAACCAACAATTTATAGAAGTAGAAATTCAATAGTTGATAAACATATGAAAGGATATTCAGTCTCACTACAGTCCAGAAAAATGAAAAGTAAAATAAAGATTTCATGTTTTAGCTATTACAATGACAAAAATTAAAGATTGATAATATCTAGCATTGCTGAGATTATGGAGAAATGGGATTTCTCATATGTTCCATGTATCCTGGTTAAACTCATCTTTCTGTATACTCACAGGCCTCAAAATAATCATCTTAAGTAATCTCAATGAGATGCAAGCAAACACAGAGAGACAACTAAGTGAAATTTTAAAAAACAATGGATGATAAAACTTAGAAGTCTACTGAGGAAACAAAAACCATTAAAAAGAACCAAACCGAAACCCTAGACCTGGAAAATTCAATGACAGGACTGGAAAATTTAATTGAGAGTTGAAATATCAGACTCAATCATGCAGAAGAAAGAAGTTGAAATCTGAAAAACAAGTCATTTCTAATCGGTCAATTAGAAGAACCAAAAGAAATCATATTTTTTAAATAATGAAGAAAGTTTAAGAAACTTATGGAACACCATTAAGCTCATGAATATATGAATAATGGAGGCCCCAGAAGGAGAAGAGAGAAGAGATCAGAAGGTTTATTTAAAGAAATACTGGTCGTCCTTCAAAAATGAGAGCTAAAGACATTCCTAGACAAACAAAAGTCAAAGAGTTCATCACCATAAAACCTGTCTTACAGGAAATATTGAAGGGAGTCCCTCAGGTTGCAACAAAAGGATGCCAGGTAACTACAGAAAAACGTAAGAAAGTATAAAATTCACTAGTTAAAAAAAAGTGAAATTCAGAATAATACTGTAATACTGCAATGGTGTGAAAATCACATTTAACTCTAGTATAAAACATAAAATACAAAATTATTAAAAATAACTACAGCTAAAATAGTTAATGGATACGCAGTATAAAAAGAGGTAAAGTGTGAACTTATTAGTATAAAATGTGGAGATAAATAAAAGTGTTAGTTTTTGGATGAGTTCAAATTGTTTTAGCTTAAATTAGAATCATATAAGATATTTTATGTAAATCCATGGTAACCACAAGCAGAAAAAACTTTTAGTAGATACACAAAAGATAAAGAGAAAGAATTCAAAGAATACCACTATAAAAATTAAATAAATCACAAAGGAAGACAGCAAGAGAGGAATAAGGAAACAAACTACAAAATAAAACAATAAAATAACAATAGTAAGCCCTTACCGATCAATAATTACTTTAATATAAATGGACTAAAATCTCCAATTAAAAGAAATAAAGTGGCTGAATAAATTTTTTTAAAAACAAAGATTCAACAATATGCTGCCTACAAGAGATTCAGATTAACCAAAAAAGGACACACACAGAATGAATGTGAAAGGAGAAAAAAGGTAACCACAAGAGAGCAGGAGTGGCTATACTCACATCAGACAAATAGACATTGAGTCAAATTCTGTCACGAGAGATAAAGAAGATCACTATATAATGATAAAGAAGTCAATTCATCAACAGGTTATAAGAATTATAAATATATATGCCCCCAAAATTGAAGCACCAAAATATATAAGGCAAATATTAACAGAATGAAAGGGAGAAATAGACAATGATACAATAATACCAGAGAACTTCAATATCCCTCTTTCAACAATGGACTGTCCAGATACAACATCCATGAGGAAATAGTGGAGTGTAATAACACTATAAACCAAATGGACCAAACATTTTGTACATGTTTTCCACGTACAAACCATTCTATCTGATTGCAATGTAGTATACTTTATTCTGAAGCACACGTGGAACACTCTCCAACAGTGATCATATGTTCGGCCACGAAATAAGTCTTAACAAATTTAGAAAAGTTGAAATCATCTCAACCTTCCTAGGCATAGTAGTATAACAGTAGAAATCAACAACAGGAGGGATTTTCAAAAATTCACAAATATGTGGAAATTAAACATCAAACTCCTGAGCAACCAATGTGTCAAAGAAGAAATCAAGAGAAATCAAAATATACATTGACACAAATGAAAAATTGAAACACAGCAAAGCAAAACATGAGATGCTGCAAGACCTGTGCTAAGAGGGAAATTTGTAGTGATAAATGACTAAGAAAAAAAAGAGAACTCTTAAATGAGCAATGTAACTTCACATCTCAAGGAACTGGAAAAAGAAAAACAAACTAAGCATAAAGGCAACAGAGGAAAGGAACCAATGAAGACTAGAAGAGAAATAAATTAAGTAGAGATGAGGAAAGCAACTGAAATGACAAGCAAAACTAAGAACTGAGCTTGTGAAAAGACATAAACTTGACAAGCATTTAAGCTAGATTCACCAAGGAAAAAAAAAAGAGAGCTGAAGAAAAATTATAAATGAGAATGGACACAATGTAACTGATACCTCGGAAATCATAAAAGACTACTATGAAAAATTATATGCCAATAAATTGGATAACTGAAGTGGATAAATTCTGAGAGACATACCATCTACTAAGACTGAATCATGAAGAAATAGAAAATCTGAAGAGAACAATGACAATTAATGAGATTGAGTAAGTATAGTAGTCCCCTCCTCCCCTTTATCCATGGTTTTGCTTTATGCAGTTTCAGTTATCTTGTTCAACGGAGGTACAAAAATAGTAAATGGGAAATTTCAGAAATAAACAATTCATAAGTTTTAAATTGCATGATGTTCTGAGTAGCATAACAATCTTATGCTCGTGCTTGTGTTCAGGTAAACCTTATTGGACTTAATGTTGGCTCCAAAGGGCAAGACTAGTAGTGGGGGCAATTCAAATACGTCAAAGAGAAGCTGTAAAATGCTTCCTTTCAGTGAAAAAGTGAAAGTTCTCAACTTTCATAAGAAAATAAAAATTATATGCTGAGGTTGTTATGATCTACAGTAAGAATGAATCTTCTATCTATGAAATTGTGAAGAAGGAAAAAGAATTTTATGCTAGCTTTGCTGTCATGCCTCAAACTACAAAATTTACATGACCATGCATGACAAGTGCTTACTTAAGATAGAAAAGGCATTAAATTTGTGGATGGAAGGCATGAAAAGCAATTCAATTCAAAGTAGCCAAAGGATTTGAATGAACATTTTCTTCAAAGAAGATATACAAATGGCCAATAAGCCCATGAAAAAAAAGGTTCAACATCATTAGCCATTAAGGAAATGCAAATTAAAACCTCAAGGAGATACCACTTCATACCTATTAGGATGGCTATAATAAAAACAAAAAACAAAAGTAACAGGTATTTTCAAGGATGGGGAGAAACTGAAACTCATGCGTTGCTAGAGGGTTTGTAAAATGGGGCAGTTACTATGTAAAATAGTTTGTCAGTTTCTCAGAAGGTTAAACATAGCACTACTATATGCCCCAGTGATTCCACGCCTATGTATTAGATTGGTGCAAAAGTGATTGTGATTTTTGCTATTACTTTCAATGACGAAAACTGCAATCAATTTTGCATCAACCTAATATTTATCTAGAAGAATTGAAAGACGGGCCTTAATCAGATATTTGTACAACAATGCTAGTAACAGATTTAGAACAACCAAAAGGTAGGAGTCACCTAAATGCCCATTAACAGATACAAGGACAAACAAAACATGGTCTATACATACAATGGAATATTATCCAGCCATTAAAAAAATTAAATTTTGATATACATCCTACAACATGGATGAACCTTGAAAACATAGGTAATAAGCTAGACACAGAATAGTAAGTATTTGTGTAATGTCACTTATATGAGGTACCCACAGTAGTTAAATAGAGACAAAGTGGGTTACCAATGGCTCAAAGCAGAGAGTTATTATATACTGTGTACAAAGTTTTTGTTGGGACTTATGAAAAAGTCTCGGGTGCAGATCATCTTGATGGTTACACAACATTGTGAATGTATTTAATGCCACTGAATTGTATATTAATAAATGGCTAAAATGGTAAATATTATATGTTAGATATATTCTATGACAATTTTTAAAAAAGATTGAAAAGATGATAAATGGTAAAGTAATTATGACAGATGCAATCTGTTGAAGAGGACGATAAATTCTTCCAGGCACCATTCTCTTAAAAAACAATAGTGTATTATCTTAACAAGACACGGCTTCGAAAGAATTCTGAGGTCATTTGGGTTACACCTCTATTTTTTTTAGACTGCCACAAACATAATTGGCTCAGACAATTCATCTCTACCTAGTATTTACAATCCTGGTCCAAGGCAGTTTCATGAAACCAAGACTTTGAGTCTTAGGCTGTTTGAGAGAGAACATTAAGAACAATAACAAGCATAGTGGTCATCATAATTAAATGTAAGGGATTTAAATATATGACATAATTATGTAATCTTAAATTTGAAAAATGGACCTTCACAGTCATATTTAGACATTTTGCCAGTGACAAAACTGAGTCACTAACACATTTTCATGATGAATTTAAGATCAAATGAATATTTTTATCAGACCTATGTTTTCTGACTTCTAATTCAGAGACTCCTCTACTTTGCCACACTAAAGCAATTTTTATTTATCCAGATGCATAAATACAACAGTTTTGAAAGTTAGGTACTGTATGGCCATTTGGCAAAATAAAGTACATTAACATAAAAGTGCTGGCCGGGCGTGGTGCCTCACACCCATAATCCTAGCACTTTGGAAGGCCGAGGTGGATGGATTATCTTAGGTCAGGAGTTCGACCAGCCTGGCCAACATGGCAAAACCCCATCTCTACAAAAAAATACAAAAATTAGCTGGGCATGGTGGCACACGCCTGTAATCCCAGCTACTTGGGAGGCTGAGGCTGGAGAATCACTTGAACCCGGGAGGCAGAAGTTGCAGTGAGCCAAGATGGCGCCACTGCACTGCAGCCTGGGCAACACAGCAAGACTCCATCTCAAAAAAATAAATAAATAAAAGTGCTGAATGACTCTTAAATGAAAATGAATTAAAATTAAATTGCACTGAATCTCAAAGAGCCCAGCTTATCCATGAAAGTATATTGGGATCAGAGAATAAAGGTGTCATAGGCAGAAGCACTATTCCAGGAATTCTTCTGACCACTTTCTGTTCATCTCTGACTCCTACTGCTACTTGCTCTTGGCTTTCCTGATTAATCTATCAATCATCTCCCCATTTGGGCTCTGTAGATTGCTTTTCTAGCCTCTGTGATTAGCAGCCGAATATTGGCTTACAGCAGCATACCATTCTTCACCTACCCAAACTGGGCAAGAAGATTTTGCTATGCGTTCTGTATATCCATAAGCCACATAGACAAGAGGCAACTCATACTTAAGGATTACTTATGCTGCCTGAGACTAATGATTTCCCCCTTCCAGAGCTTGTCAGAGGTTGTTTAACATGTTGAAAGAGAAACTAACAGCCACCTAGTTTTAAAATGCAATTAACGTTCAAAGTTACTCTATTACTTCAATAATAATGTAATAGCCCAGCCCTGCCTGTCCACTGGGAACTTATAACTAGTCTTACTATTTCTGACTCTTAGAAGATATTTTCTTTTATTTAACAATTTCATGTCTCCTGACTTTTATTCATTGCTTTTAGTTGCACCCCTTAGGGTAAAACAGAATTTACCTGTTCTATTTTCCAACAGTATCTTCAAATATTTTGTAGATTTTACAAGTATCCCTCTACATTGGCTATTCTCCATTCTGAGATAAGGGACAATTCAAATTCCTTCGGTAATGTATAACTTTTTTGAATCCGTTAACTCCCTGTCACTCTCTGAAAGAGTCATCCAGTTTTACTATGTTCCTCTTCAAGAGTGATGTACAGAAGCGGATACAGCCCTCCCCGTTAATTGTCTGCCACCACGGAGAGGAAGAGGACTGAGATTGCCTGTGTTTCAGATATTTCTCCATTCTCCACCTGTGTGATGCTGCCTCCAGCATCTTGCTCCACTTACATCCTCATCCTTCTCCAGGGACTGTGGTGCTGCTTCTTCCCTAGGAGGCTGCAACTCACCCTCCTGGGGAAGAACTCCTCTTTCCTTCCATGGAAATTGAGAGTTCTAGGTTATGTTCCTCACCTTTCTTCTTTGTGGAAGAAAAAAGGTAACTCCAATTCTCCCAGTAAACCTAATTGAGAAATATTTGTCAAGCCTCTAGAGTGCAGGGACTAACTTGCAATATATACCTATGGAGTTGACCCCTGAACAATATGGGCTTGAACTGCTCCAATCCACTCACAAGCAGAAGTTTTTCAATAAGTTACACTGAGTGTGTCCGCCCTTCCTGTCTCTCCTTCTACTTCTTCCACCCCTTCTGCCTCTGCCACCCCTGAGACAGCAAGACCAATACCTCTTTTCTTTCTCCTCCTCGGCATACTCAATATGAAGACTTTCATGATGATCCATTTCCACTTAATAGCAAATATATTTTTCCTTTCTTATGATTTTCTTAATAATTTTTTTCTAGCTTTATTATAAGAATGCAGTCTTAAATACATATAACACACAAAATATGTGTTAATTGGCTGTTTATGTTATCAGTAAGGCTGCCAGTCAACAATAGGCTATTAGTCATAAAGTTTTGGGGGAGTCAAAATTTACATACAGGTCAGGTGCAGTGCCTCACGCCTGTAATCCCAGCATTTTGGGAGGCCAAGGCAGGCGGATCATGAGGTCAGGAGATCAAGACCATCCTGGCTAACACGGTGAGACACCGTCTCTACTAAAAAATACAAAAAATTAGCCGGGCGTGGTGTCAGGCACCTGTAGTCCCAGCTACTCGGGAGGCTGAGGCGGGAGAATGGCGTGAACCCAGGAGGTGGAGCTTGCAGTGAGCCAAGATTGCGCCACTGCAATCTAGCCTGGGTGAAAGAGCAAGACTCTGTCTCAAAAAAAAAAAAAAAAAAAAACAGTTACATACAGATTTATGACTGTGCAGGGGGTCAGCATGTCTATCCCCCACGTTGTCCAAGGGTCAACTGTACAGCTGATCATTGTCTACCACCAGAAGACAAGCATATCTCATCTCCTAAAGGCCACTGAAAGATCCATTCATTTATGATTGCTAGTTACACTCTAGGACTTTTCCAAAACTAGAAACTGTCCATAATGCCCATACTAACCCTCATCCACACCTGTCAGTCCTGGCCACCTGTCAGAGCTATCTGTGGGTCTTCTGAAAACTAAAGATGGCTCCTACCCCAAAGATGATTCAATAGGTCTTTATTGCTATTGCTGTCATTGATATAGCTGTTTTTAAGCTCATAGGTGATTTTTAATTCACAGCCAGAATTCAGAACAATACTCGAGGCTCTGAAGTTTTACTCAGTCATCTATCAGTTATGTGATATGGGCAAGCTGTTTAAGAAGTGTGAGCTTCAGTTTCTCACCTGTGAAATGAAATAGCAACTCTCCTATAGGGCTTTTTATATATTACCTACAAAACACTTAACACATTATTGACAAAAAATTAATATTTAATTGGTAGGTACCTCTTGGCAGATTCTACCACGCAAATGTCTACTTACCCTACCTGGTTTACCTTAAACACTTTCTCCACTCAAAGACAGAGTTAAGGGCTCCAAACTCAAGGTACTAGTAGTATCTCATACTCTTTCAATTGTAGTATTTTTAATATAATTGGATTATAAAGACCTAGCAAAAAAATATACCTCTGAGAATTTTAGATAAAATCAGTATTCTGGAAATGTTTAACTCTGACAAATACTTTTAATAACCATTCAAATGTATTTATCTACCTTTACCAAGAACTCTTAGTAAATTATGTAAAATAATCATCAAAAAATTATTTCCTAAAATATTACTTAGGGGGCCCAAACCAACAGTTAGAGAATGAAATTCTATTAAAATATAACCTGTAAGGTCTGTTTGACATTTTAATCTCTTTCGGGTGTTTTTTCCTTTTGTTTCTTTATCAGAGAGACACAAAGAAGAAGAAAAGGCTTCTATATTCTAATTGCAAATCCATCACATAAATTATTGGCAGATTCACTTTTGTTGGATGAGCTAATGTAATTTTCCAAACTCTCAACTGAGCTAATGTGATTACACTCCATTCCCATTAACCGGGGTCAGCCAGGCCAAGCCCCTGCCCCCTGACTTATCACGAGCTGGAGTCGATAATAGAAGGAATGGCAGCCGCTCAAAAATGAAAGCATCACCGTCATCAGATAGTACATAGAAAGGCAAAGCTGTGTCAACACCGCTCTCTCTTCATTTACAGAATGCCCAAAAGGAGGTATATAAACATCCCCAAAACAGCCAACTTGTAATACAAGGGCTAGAAAAATCTCAAAATTGAACACTCTTTTGTATAGGAAGCTGTGGCCTCGTGAGGAAACACCACTTACTTTAGATTACCCAGTGAGTTCGGGGCAGGTCCAGATGGTATGACCTTGCCACACACCATGCCATTTCAGATGACCTTCTAGCAAAAATGCAGCTGTGCCCAGTGTGGGGCTCATAAAAAAGTGCACCTCCTATGAAATATGCTATAGATCTTAAGGATGCATTTCTTCTATTTCCACCCCCCTCCTCCCAAAAAAGTATAGAGAATTATGAGCAACTTCAAATTAAAACTTATTTGCAGTTGTCTTCTGGTAATTAATATGCTTATTTCTCTCTCTCTGAATTACTTGTTACTTATTATGCACTATGGAATATTGTTTCCTCTCATGTCTCTCCTAAACCAAGATGGTCAAACCGGTTTCTTCTTCCTTGATTTCAAGCTGCTGTGAATACGGGAGTTTTGTTCAAATATAATAGCTACAAAAAAAATGGTTTGCGTTGACAGGCCAAAAGTGTACAATGCTTACCTCCAAGGCTGCACTGAGTACCTCACCCTGAATACATACCACATTCACATCCATTGTTGTGCAGTGGCATGATCTCTGCTCACTGCAACCTCTGCCTGCCAGGTTCAAGTGATTCTCCTGCCTCAGCCCCCCAGATAGCCAAGATTACAGGTGGATGCCACCATGCCAGGCTAATTTTTATATTTTTAATAGAGATCAGGTTTCGCCATGTTGGCCAGGCTGGTCTCGAACTCCTGACCTCAAGTGATCCACCTGCCTCAGCCTCCCAAAGTGCTCCTTCTCTTTTCTCTTCCCACATTTCTCCCTTTCCTAGTCACCATATTTCTTAGTTTGTGTGTTTCCCTTACTTTGTCCCAAAATTGCTCTCAATTTTGTCTTAGATTAGCTAATGTATACCCATAAATCAATTTCATATCTAACTCATGATGAACACTGTTAAAGAAATAAATATAAGATAAATGTATTAACTGTTAAAACTTGAATTTTGAAAAATTGGTAAAAGTAGATCAAAGAATTATATATTCTTGATGAATTTATATCCCATAAAAGTAACCAAAGCATATTAGACTTAGAGGAAATAATAGCCACTAAAGCAACTTCCCATGGCAGAAAGCCAAGGTGTAACATTTGATTGATGACTTAAATGTTAGTCTTAAAATTCAGACTGAAACATTTGATTGATGAATTAAATGTTAGTCTTAAAATTCAAATTGAAACATTTGATTGATGAATCAAATGTTAGTCTTAAAATTTAAATGGAATAGAATTGATTCTGAGAAAATTAATTTTATGAAATAAAAATGAAAATGGAAAAATTGGAAGTGGCTTGGCTGCTCTTTTTAAAAAATCAGTCATGGAGTTAAATTGATTTGGTACAATTTGCTCTGGAAATGACTGTCATGGCAAATAATCATCTGTGGCATAATTGTAACTGAAATGTTTTCATTAAAATGGCTTAGTCTAAATATTCCATACCCCATGAGCAAATGTCAATGATAATAAAGTTTAAGAATTGTCTAAAAGCAACTCCACAGCTTCTATTATGAGGCAGATAATATTATCTTCAATTAAAAGGATATTCAAGTATTTTGGTACCAAAAACATGCTATGCTCCAGAAACTGGTACCAGCCTTAGTTATGAATGAAAGATTTAAGCAGTGATTAAGGTACACAGGCAGGTCTGTGGATTGCAGAACACGACTTAGCCTCAGGAATCTTATATGGCCCTTATAAAGCAAAACTTATTAATCCCTTAAACTGTCATTAATATATAAAGTAACTAAGCTGGTGTCTTTGCATTCCAACTGACTTTTCACTGAGTTATTGAGAAGGTATCATCCTAAGTCCTTGATCAAAACAACACAACCAGAGGAACCCACAGCTGAAAGGAAATATATAGGGGAGAGTTTATTGCTGTCTCTCATCAGCTGAGGCTGCCATAGAAAATGACTTAGATTGACAGTTTATTCATATGGTGAGTGTGTGAGTGTATGTAAATACGTGTGTGTGTGTGTGTGTGTGTGTGTGTGTGTGTGTCACATTTAAACACTAAATGTTGGGGAATATAGAGAAATAGTATATTTGTGTATGTGAAAGTGCGTATTGCATAATGTAACTAACATACACAAAGCTCCACACAAACATACACACTCTGCCACAGGACTTAGCCTGGCAAAGGTGATTCTGAGAGAGTGGGCTTTCCTGGCAGGAGTGACAGCATGTTTCAAGCTCCTTAGGTGAAAAAGCAACAAACACAGTCAACAGAGGGAGTTCTGAGTGGTACTGAGTGTCTGGAATGTGGCAGACAAAGCCAACAAGTTTCCTCATACCTAAGGGGACATGATAATCTCAGAGAATAACTTACTCGTTATTTTTCCTTCCACTATTACAAGCTCGAAGCTTGATATATATAAAAGAAGCTGCTTTATCCTAGGTTTAAAAATGCAATATCAAGAATGCTCTGCTCTATTATATAAAGGATCCAATAAGAATAAAGTCAGAGATGACGGGGGAAAATATGTATATGAAGATAAATGGCTAAAGCTCAGGTAGAGGGGGAACCATGCCCCTGTGAATGGCCTCAGGCAAAACTGTCAAGGCTAGGAACTTGTTTCCAGCCACCCTGAATCTCTGCCTTTGTTAGATTTCCTGTTTCTGTCCTTCCCCTGCTCCTCAGTGCTCTCAGCCTGTCATCAGGGTCATTTTTGTGTTTCATTTCTAGTGTTGTGAGTTAGAAGTGGACATTTTCATGCTGAAGTTTTTAGGAAGAAGAGTTAAGATGGCTGCAATTTACTTTAAAATGCATCCAAAAATAAGATAGGTTAGTGGGTGGATAGCTGGATAGATGTGTGATGAAGCCAGTGTAGTAAAATGTTAATGGTACAATCCAGAGATGCAGGAAAAGTGGGGATATTTTGCTCTACTTGTGAAACCATTCCTAATAAAATGGTGAACAAACTGTGGGCATATTGGCCCAAATTTGGCCAGTGGACACCTCCTCAGTTTTGCTCCTGAGTCCTTTGGACATGAATCTAGTAGTCTTTGACAGCTTGCCTGCTACTTGTAATGACATGATTATTGCAAGCTCATCTACCCTGACCTAGAAACAGACAATTCAGTGGGAAACAATATTTAAAGGCAAGAATCTCAGTGCTACCAATATTCATTGTGACTGGTCTGGTCATTGTTTTATGGCCTTTTCAGAGGACAAAGCTAGGATACAGACAGGTGATAGGTAAAGAGAGAAACAGAAACAATAAGAAAAAGAAAGAGAAAGAAAAAGAGAAAGATTTTTTTAAGGTAAGATGTCCTATGAGTTCACACAAACATTTCCTTTTCAAATTAATGCAATGGGAATTTTCCTACCTTGTCCTATATTACTTCTGTACTGTCCTTCTTCCACAGTGAGAATTCTGGTTCTCAAGGCACAGATGATATAGAATTAGAATACCTCATAATTTATCTATGCTCTGCCCCACATTATACAAACAGTTTCAGAAAGATGATAGTAACATAGCCAATTCTGATTACTGAAACCAATTAAAAATGTTTACATATGCTTTCCCCAATCTGCCCTCCTTTTAGACATTGTATTTTATCAACATTGTCAGAGCATGTAGTCATTGCAGACCATACTCTCTCTTTTAATCCTCATTTATCCTTACTTCTAAAGGTAACCCCCATTTACTCTGATTTCTAAAGATAACTATATATTCTATCCTCATCATCAGTCCTAATGCTGAGGTCTTCCTTCTCATTTTTGTCTGGAATGTTCTTTAGTAGATTCCTCAGGAAAAGTTTATGGAAATAATAGCTCTTTATTTCTTGCATTTTAATTACAGATTGTGTCCTTCATCAACAAAATTCAGTTTCTAATACATTCTTAGCTCACATTTTCTTTCCTTGAATATCTTAAATATATTCACATCATTTCCTTTGTCATAAAGGATTGCTGCTGAAAAGTCTGAGGATAATCTAACTTCCCCCTTAAATATCACATTCTCTTTTGCTTATATGCCCAAATGATTTTTGTTTCTCTTTAAAGTCCAGTAATTTTACTAGAATATACCTTGGGGGTCATATAGATTCATTCTGGATCTATATTTTCAGATGCATGATATGATCTTTCAGTTTGGGCATCAATAAAAATACAATGAATTGAAGTCCATAAAATTCTATATCAAATCAGGAATTTATAATGATGCAAAAAATTAACTTATCTTAAGACAGGAAACCAACTCATTACCTTAAAAACTGGTAAAGGGAAGAAATCATGCATTTATCCTCCATTTTCCATGTAATCACTGAGTAACCAAATAGTAAATAAGAAAAAGACATACTCATAAAAATATTTTCAGATAATAAATAAAAACCCAATGATTAAAGTATAACATCAGCATTTTGCATGTCAGAAGGCTTATTTTAGATTCCATCCAAACCTTTTATGTTGCCCTTGAAGATGACTGCATATAATCTAATAAATCTGTAGTCATCAGCTATCTTAAGTGATTTGTTATTGATGTGAGATGGGTAGGACGAGACATTTGTGGAGAAAGAATATATTAGCTTTCTCTGTGGAGGCTGTGCTGTCCAAAATAACCTTTCAGTCTCTTTGAAGTCTCATCCAAAGGGCATATGAATTTACAAGTGGCCCACCAACAACAGAGGCAGCATCAAAGCAGGCCAAACTAAGATCTTAATTATGGATTTCCAGGAACAGCGGCCATGTGGACAGAAAAAAAGCTGAATAAAATGGCATAAACACGAAAATTAATAATACCCACTATGGATGATAAGAGCTAGAATTTTCCAAGAGTTTACCATGTGCAGCACCAGGCTAATCTCATTCAATCCTCACAACAAGCCTTTGAGGCACATACTGTGACTTTCCTGATTTAAAAGTCAATTGTAAGCTTTCCTGGATTATAAAATATTTCTGAATGTTTCACATTTTAAAAAAGGATAACATTTTACTGATTGTTTCATACTGAGACTCATAGGAACATAGAAACTTCTCTATAGCCACGTATGTAACAAACATAGTAATAAGGAAAATGGGCATCAGCCCAAGAAATGAAGGATACACAGTGTGAGGGGACAGGTGTCCACTTGCAGCAAACCTCACAGGCCTTACCAAGGGGCAATTCACAATTCCTCTTCCTGAGAAACAAATGCAAAGTCACAGGAGGCAGTCAAAGGGGAGAAAAGTTAGATCACCATCTCCACTCCCTGGACTGAAGGGAAACAGGGAGCAGCCTTTATAATTTGCCACATGATATGGTTTGGCTCTGTCTCCATCCAAATCTCAACTTGAACTGTATCTCCCGGAATTTCCATGTGTTGTGTTGTGGGAGGGACCCAGGGGGAGGTAATTGAATCATGGGGGCTGGTCATTCCTATGCTATTCTCATGATAGTGAATAAGTCTCATGAGATCTGATGGGTTTATCAGGGGTTTCTGCTTTTGCTTCTTCCTCATTTTCTCTTGCCGCTGCCATGTAAGAAGTGCCTTTCAGTTCCTGCCATGATCCTGAGGCCTCCCCAGCCATGTGGAACTGTAAGTCCAATTAAACCTCTTTTTCTTCCTAGTTTCGGGTATGTCTTTATCAGCAGCATGAAAATGGAGTAATACAGTAAATTGGTACCAGTAGAGTGGGGCATTGCTGAAAAGATACCCAAAAATGTGGAAGTGACTTTGGAACTGGGTAACAGGTAGAGGCTGCAACAGTTTGGAGGGCTCAGAAGAAGACAGAAAAATGTGGGAAAGTTTGGAACATCCTAGAGACTTGAATGGCTTTGTCCAAATGCTGATAGCGATATGGACAATAAGGTCCAGACTGAGGTGGTCTCAGATGGAGATGAGGAACTTGTTGGGAACTGGAGTAAAAGTGATTCTTGTTATATTTTAGCAAACAGACTGGTGGCATTTTGCCTCTGCCCTAGAGATTTGTGGAACTTTGAACTTGAGAAAGATGATTTAGGGTATCTGGCGGAAGAAGTTTCTAAGCAGTGAAGCAGTGACTTCAGTGCTGTCAAAGGCATTTAGTTTTATAAGGGAATCAGAGCATAAAAGTTTGGAAAATTTGCAGTCTGACTATGTGATAGAAAAGAAAACCCATTTTCTAGGGAGAAATTCAAGCCAGCTGCAGAAATTTGCATAAGTTGCAAGGAGCCTAATGTTAATCCCCAAGACCATGGGGAAAATGTCTCCAGACCATGTCAGAGATCTTCACATCAGCCCCTGCCATCACATGCCTAGGAGGAAAAAGGGTTTCATGGGCTGGGCCTATGTGCAGCCTAGAGACTAGGTGCCCTGTGTCCCAGCCGCTCCAGCCATGGCTGAAAGTGGCCAATGTAGAGCTTGGGCTGTAGCTTTAGGGGGTGGAAGCCCCAAGCCTCCAAGCCTTGGCAGCTTCCACATGGTGTTAAGCCTGCAGGTGCACAGAAGTCAAGAATTGAGGTTTGCGAACCTCTGCCTAGATTTCAGAAGACGTATGAAAACACCTGGATGCCCAGGCAAACGTCTGCTGCAGGGGTGGGGCCCTCATGGAGAACCTCTGCTAGGGCAATGCAGAAGGGAAATGTGTTGGAGCCCCCACACAGGGTCCCTACTGGGGCACCACCTAGGGGACCCGTGAGAAGAGGGCCACCATCCTCCAGACCCCAGAATGCTAGATCCACTGACAGCTTGCACCATGCGCCTGGAAAATCCACACTGAATGTCAGCCTGTGAAAGCAGCCGGGAGTGGGGCTATACCCTGCAAAGCCACAAGGGCAGAGCTGCCCAAGACCATGGGAACCCACTTCTTACATCAGCGTGACCTGCATGTGAGACCTGGAATCAAAGGAGATCATTTTGGAGCTTTAAAATTTGACTGCCCCATTGGATTTCAGACTTGCAAGGGCCCTGTAATCCGTTTGTTTTGGCCAATTTCTCTCATTTGGAATGGCTGTATTTACCCAATACCTGTACCCCCATTGCATTTAGGAAGTAACTAGCTTGCTTTTGATTTTACAGGCTCATAGGTGGAAGGGACTTGACTTGTGTCAGATGAGAATTTGGACTGTGGACTTTTAGGTTAGTGCTGAAATGAGTTAGGACTTTGGGGGACTGTTGGGAAGGCATGATTGGTTTTGAAATGTGAGGACATGAGATTTAGAGGGACCAGGGTGGAATGATATGGTTTGACTGTGTCTCCATCCAAATCTCAACTTTGACTGTATCTCCCAGGATTCTCATGTGTTGTGGGAGGGACCCAGGGGGAGGTAACTGAATCATGAGACCCATCTTTCCAGTGCTATTCTCATGGTAATGAATAAGTCTCACGAGATCTGATGGATTTATCCAGGGGTTTCTGCTTTTGCTTCTTCCTCATTTTCCCTTGCCACCACCATGTAAGAAGTGTTTTTCACCTCCCACCATGATTCTGAGGCCTCCCCAGCCATGTGGAACTGTAAGTCCAATTAAACTTCTTTTTCTTCCCAGTCTCTGGTATGTCTTTATCAGCAGTTTGAAAATGGACTAATATACTACATAAACCTTCATAATCAATTGCCTTCAGGATTAATGGTTAGTGCCAGTAGGGCAGTTTCAACACTCCAGAAGAGAAGGATATTTACACAGATGGAGTTCCCTGCTATAACTGCCCATGGCCCAGATCCTTCCACAAACCCACACCCTAACAGAAGATGAGTCATGGCTTTTTAGTGTAGGGTCCTACAAGATACCATCAATTTCTGTTAGACTAGTTCTGAAGCCCAAAGAGAAGTCACTCATATCAGGACAAATATCAGAAGAGAATAGACCTTTTCTCATTTAAAAATAAGTAAGCATAAATAACAGCAAAGTCTGAAAAATAAAAAAGCAGTATAAATGAGAAATAAACACAAAACACACCAGAGAAAGAGCTTATTTTTGAAAATTATTTACTCTAGCAAACATCTGCTTTATACTCTCATAGAAAGTAAATAACAACAAAACACAGAGGAAAGACAATATGTAACAACTATGAGACTGAAATGAAAACTGAGAAGTTATTGTAAGGAAATAATATAGGTAAGTTATGATATAATAAGATTTAAGATGACATTGAAAGCAATAAGAAACAGAATCTATATTCTGTTGTAGATTACAAACATAGAAATGACAAATTCTATCAAAATGCAGAAAAAATATAAGTTATGAAAGCAATCAGAAAGAATACAGATTATGAAGAATAGCTCATGATTTAAAATAGCAATAGTCAGTGTTTCCATAGAGATCAGAATCAATATTACAAAAGCAATCATCAACTACATAAAAGAAATATTTTCCTATGCAGAAGACCTACACCTACAAATTTATAGCACAGAATATTAAGAAAACAATATTCTGAAAAAAACTAGCATTTAGCTTTATTCCAGTGATTATTTTTCTTCAAGGACTAAAAAAAGTAATCATGGTATAAGAATTCAGACAGCCACAAAGAAGAAAATATAGAGCTGGACTCCCATTTCTCTTCAAGCAACTCCAATTGTCAAGGAGATTTCTAATGTCTTTATGGTCGTGAGTGAAAAATATCAAGAGTTCTGAGGCCATTCACTTTGTCATTTACATGGAAAACCAACAGAAAGGTGATCATACGCACAAGGACTCAGGAAATAACATCTATAATGTTTCGGGGTGGGGGGACTATTCTCAAAGTAATGAGAAAAGGTCAATATTAATAACCAAAAATGAGAAAATACATACTACAATAAGGACTGGCAGTGAGCACTGAAAATGCTAAAATGTAGAATTAAATCTAAAAATCTCATATGTTTTATTGTATATACCATAAATAACATTTGAAGACATTTAATTTTGTGTTAAATAATTTTTAAAGGTGTAAGGTAATATTCATAAGCCAGTAAAAATTTCCAAATTTTTCAGACTTTAAAAGGATAAACAGAAGAAAAAATAGAGGCAGTAAAAGTTTACTAATTGATTTTTATGATACAAGAAGGAGTTTTGTCATTGATATTGATAAAGAAGCGTAACTTTAATTATAGTTTTCTTCTTAAGGGTAATTACGACAGCTATATAAGAAACTTCTCTTTGAAATTTAAAATATAGTACTTAAAATAGAAAACTCAACCCAAGATTGGAAAGTAAGAAGAAAATTAGCCATTACGTGAAGTTAAAACACAAGGAGCTCTAAAATATGACAGAAAGTTTAAGAGACATGAAGAGACCAAAAATTCATTGTCAACAGGTGTTTAAAAAGAAAAATTAAAATAGAATGGAATGGAATAGAATTTGCTAGTACTAAAGAAAGACAGGAGACTTAAGAAGACTGATGAGAAAAACTTATAAAATTTGAGAACTGCAAAGATGGACACGATATTCGAAAGTTCCAGAGAGAAAAAGAAATTGTTCACCTGCAAAGAAAGACAAATGCATCTAAATGTAAGCAGCGGGTGCCAGAGAAGGAGACACTGCTCACAGGATGTCAAGAGAAAATTACGTTAAGTTTGATATTCTGTGAGCCATGCAGATCATGCAACTGAATTGGGAAGTCATTTGAAATACAAAGCAAATAAAAAGTGGCATGATTTTAGAATGTGGGGAAATAATCCATTTACATCACCCTAGGAATATTCCTCCTCCATTGCTACAGAAGTCCTGTGAAGGGAATGCAATTCTAACACACAGCTTGATAAAGCCTTTAGTAGATTTAAATATTCAATATACAATATTATATGTTGGCCTTAAACTTTTAGAACCAAACTGTAGACAAAATAAAGCTGAATTCAGTGTTGTACGTGGAAACTAAGAATAAATAAATAAAAATACAGCAGAATTCACTGGGGCTTGTCATGGGCTTAATTGTGCCCTCTCTCTTAAAAAAAAAAAAAAAGAAAGAAAGAAAATTTTAAAAATTAAAAAAAAAATTCAGATGTTGAAACCTAATCCCCAATTCCGAGGAATATGACTGCCTTTGGAGATAGGGCCTTCAAACAGATGGCTAAATTTACATGAGGCCGTTAGGGCAGGCCCTAATCCAATCTGACTGTTGTCCTTATAAAAAGACTACATTTGGACGCACAGAAGAGACACCAGGGACGCACGTGCAAAGAGAAAACACCAAGAGAGGACATAGCGAGAAGCGGCCAACTGCCAGCTAAGGACAGAGGCCTCAGGAGAAACCAAACCTGCTGACACTTTGATATTGGACTTCCAGTCTCCAAAGCTACAAGAAAGTAAACATTTGTCATTGAAGCCGCCCAGTCTGCAGTATTAGGTTATGGCAGCTAATATAGAGCTTAAAACAGCAGGGTTGTTGTTGAGCTTAATATTATAAAGATGTGAAACAATGGAACAGGGGGAGGGGAGAAGAGCAGCTCTAATCCTTTTTCAAAAAGGAGGAAATCAAGGATATTGTCTAAATTTTATAGAGCAAAAAATAAAGTTTTAAGCATATTATTTAAAGTTAAAAAGGCAAGAGGAATAATTAATGTAAATTATCAAACTCTGAAGGTAGGGAAAAAAAAGGAGTGATGAGGGATATGGTAAATGGGCTGAAACTGTATTTTTTTGAAGCCAGAGCCAATAATCATTAAACATTCAGCAGGTATTTCCTGAGCATCTATTATTCGCCAAGCTGTGCTCTGGGCGCACAAGATCTGTCAGTGAACAACAGACAGAATTTTGCCCTCATGGAGCTTCCATGAAAATACAGAGAAACAGAGAGTAAACAATAGATGTATGATGATGGAGGAAGCTGTTACAGAAATGTGAAAACAGGATAAGGTTACCTTACAGGATTGTGAGTGTGGGTCAGGAACTCAGCCAGTGTGTGATGATCCTGCCCTGAGCTCAGGTGCTCACAAGCCGGCTTTTAGGGTATAGAGCAAAGAGGTGTGAAGAGTGGATCTGGAAGAATACATAGAAGACATTCAGGACAGCATAATAAATAAGTACATTGTCAGAGTTGTTTCAAAATGATGCCTGCTATAAGGAAAAGGTGAACTCAGAAAGATAAAAGAGAAATGACAAGAGGTCAGGAGGTAGGAAGGGGCCTGCAATTTTAAAGAGAGGTGCTCAGACACGTTGCATCGAGATCTTATTTGAACAAATATTTTGAGAAGATGATAACTAGGGAAAAAATATCCCAAGTAGTGAGAGTAGCCAGTGCAAACGTCCAATGACAGGAACATGTCAGACCTAACAATGAGAAGTTAGAGGGAATGATTGGTCACTGAGAGAGAGAAGCAGCCTGAATCCAAAATGCAGAGAGGAAAAGTCTTTGGGGGCCTGAGATGTGGGCCTGACACTAACAGTAGATATGGCTTTTCTGAGAGTTACTGAGAGTTCCCTGAGAGCTCCCATCAGTAAGACTATACATTATAAGTTATTAAGACAAGAGCACAAATAAATTTATGAGATTGATTTACGAATGGTCAGAGAACTGAGGGAAACTGTTCGTGGTAATAAGAGAAAGAATTGCAAGTGGAGAAGACAAATATGGTGGAAAGGTTCTGAAACACAGTTGCTGCTTATCACGACATGGGCAGGTACTATAAAACAATAAAAAATACTAGGATGAGAAGGAGGACAAGGAAGCTGGATCAGAAGTGCAAAAACAGTGAAGGCTGGCTTTTTACAAGGGGGAGCCTCGTTCAAAGAGAAAACGAAGTGGCCAGTGAGTTCTTTAAAGAGCTGCATGGTAGTGCCTACATTTTTGTGAATGGTGTTGGAAAGCAGAAAGAACTGCAAAATAGACACTGTGCCCAAGGGTCAAACTCTGTTGGCCTGCCATTTATATGACACACTGTCCTCAGGACTAGGAAGTGGTCAGATTTCATGTAACCTACTCACTTATGAGGTTAGTGATGAATGGAAGAGATATTATCTGAAAACACATTTTAAAATGCAGCAGATGCTTTAAAAGGGCATTATTTTCTGCACCAAAGATAAAGTCTGACTTAAAAATTCATGTATTAAATGTCACCTCGAAAGAGCAAGGACAGCTGCATAGAATATTAAATACAATTAAAAACAATGCGTAATATGAACAGAACTCAGTAAAGACCCAAAACCAAAAAAAAAAGAAATAGAGGAGTGGGAGGATACACATTCAACATTAATTCATGAAAATAAAAGGATGATTTATTTGCAATAACTTTAAGAAAACATATTTCCTAGAATAAAGGTCATTGATGTTTAATTAAAGGAAAAACAAAACAGTAAAGGTAAGAAATAAGTCACTAATAATAACACAAAGTAACAGTTATCCCTATTCACATTTTGATAATCCTACTTACACCCATGTTTCTGTGCATATATGTACCCCCAAAGTATTTTACATACTATACATAAAGCTTATAGCCTGGTTTTTCTTATTAAAAAGTATCAGGAACATTTTCTCTGCATTAATTACTTTTCTAAAATGTATTTGATGACTATAAGATTCAATGAAATCAATATAGTGTGCCTTATTTAAACATTACATATTCTTACACATTTATAGTAACTATTTTTGTTATTGTGTACAATGCTATTATGAACACACTTACAGCTCATTGTTACATGCTTTTATGATAATGTCAAGCCCATACCTCTCAAATCATATTGCGTATGGTGGTCTAATCTCTTGAAGTACTCTCTGCCCAAAAATAGTTCTATAATCAAAGTTTAAATGAGAACTTTTAAAATATATTATTTTGCAGTTTACAATGTACATTAGCACATTTCAAATCCTGAGTTCTGTTACTTAAAAACTTTAAGTTAGCTTTTTGCCAAACCACAGAAAATTCCTCATAGTCATGTATATCCATTAAGATGTCTCAGAAATACACATCTTAGAATGCCTAAAAGTGAAATTGCTGGGTTAACGTGCAGGAGCAACTTAAAGCTCGTGATATTTATTACTAAAGAATCTTCAAGAAGGGTCTACAAGTGTAAAAGACTTTCTCTTTTCCCTTTTTTCTTTCTTTTTTCTCTTTCTCCAAACTAATGACAACATGAGGGTTATCCCTTGTTCAGCTTCCCCAGTTTTGTAGGTGGTGGATTAAAACATTTTCGTTAGCATTTCCTGTTTATTAATGAGCTTGACCTTTGCCTCACATTTCTTGCAAATACTTATTTCTTTTTGTTTAGGTAGATTGTTTATTCATGACCTTAGCCTTTTTTTTCTATTATGGTGATCATCTTTTCCTTTGTTTATTATGAAGCCCTTCACCTGTAAGTAATATCAGTATTTTTTCTGTCTTATGTATTTCAAATGTTGTCTCAGTACTATTTTTCCATTTATGTTTATCATGTTTTATAATCTTTATTTTTCTGCAGAAAAAACTAGCAAAATCTGTACACATGGTTTCTGCTTTACTGTCCTAGTAGAAGGCTTTTCCCAGTCCCCAAATCACATAAACTTTAATCATTAAGCTAATTAGAAAGATTACAGCAATAAAACCAGATATAAGAGCAATATAACACAATCAATATATTTTCTATAAAAAGATCCTATTTACCATAAAAGAATCAAATACTATAAAGCTTCTAGGAATAAACTTTACAAGAAATACACAGGACCTTCTTTGGAAAATGCTACAAAACTTTAATGAAAGACATAAAAGGAGGCCAGAATAAATGGAGAGATATTTGATGTTATTGGATGGGAAGACTCAATATTATAAAGATATCAAACTTTCCAAATTAATCTATAAAGTTAATTCAATTATAATAAAAGTCTCAAGGATTTTTAAATAAAACTTGACAAGCTAATTCTAAAATTAATATGAAAAAGTAAATGCAGACGCACAGCCAAGACAATTATGAAAAAGGAGAACAATATAGGGGTGATTTGCCCTTCCAAATATTAAGATGAATTAGAAGCTATGGTAATTAATGCATGAAACCAGACAAATAAATATTTGTTATAGAATAAAAAGTCCAGAAACAAGCCCATATGCACATATGGAACATTAGTATATTATAAAAGTGGTATTTCAAGTTACTAGGAAAGAATCAACTATTAACTAATAGTGTTAATACAAGTGATGACATGCCCAAAAAATAAATTTAGGTCCCAACTCATGTCATTTGCACAAAACAAAAAGCTGAAACAATTGGATGAGAATATATATTATCCTACTAAAATAGGAAAGGTCTTCTTAACCAAGAGATAAGCAAAGAAAATTTATAAATTAAAATTGCTAAATTTGGCCACATCAAAATTCAAAATCGCTAACAAATGACTTCATTAAAAATATGTAAAACATATTTGACATATCTGCAGCAAGTGCAAAAGAGAAAACAACAGCCAGTATGATTGATGTTATAGATTAACCCCCTGAACTCCATTATGCTGTATTGTAACTGCACCCTTTAGAACAGGAAAGCCAAGATTACATCTCCCAGATTCCTGTACAGTTGGAGTTTGATACATAACCTAGATACCACCAAGCATTCACATCCTTGTGAGATGTGGAAGAAAAAAGGGAGGCAGAAATAGGATTTTTCTGCTTCTACTGTGTCTTCTGGAAAGGTGAGTTGTGGGAATAACAGAGCTTTCCTGTGGCAGTGGTAGCAATGGTCCCAGTGTCAAGTCCCTAGACTCATGCCCTTTGAGAGCCAGGCTATTGTGCATCCACTGTGCTAGAAGGGATTACAGCTAAGATGGTCAATTATTCTGGAAATGGCTCCCTCCTGTTTTCTGGACCCAGCAATTGAGATAATGGTTTCCTAATTCCCCAGCAGCATTAGTCCGTTTTCATACTGCTATAAAGAAATACCCAAGATTGGTTAATTTATAAAGGAAAGGGGTGCAATTGATTCACAGTTCATCATGTCTAGGGAGACCTCAGGAAACTTACAATCATGGTGGAAGGTGAAGGGGAAGCAAGGGCCTTCTTCACATGGTGGCAGGAGAGAGAAGTGTGTGTGTGAGCACAGGAAAAGCTACCATTTATAAAACCATCAGATCTCTTGAGAATTCACTACCACGAGAACAGTATGACAGCCTGGGGGAAACTGTCCCTGTAATCCAATCACTTCCCACCAGGTTTCTCCCTTAACACTGGGAGATTACAATTCCAGATGAGGTTTGAGTGGGGACACAAAGCTAAACCATCTCTCCAACTTTCTAACCATTCTTTTATTCTGAAATAGAAAAGGCAACTGCTCTCTTAGCCACTTTTCCAGTGATGTTCTAGGAACCATTCCTGAAGGATCCCTGGAAAGCCTCCACAGAGCTCTCTTCAGCTACTCCCACAATTTTAAGAGTACATAATATGTTAAATGCCTTTATTATTAAAATAGCTAGAGTGGTTTCTGTTATCTACAACAGAACTCAACATTAAAAAGAATTTGGTAGCAGGGAAGATTATAGGCAACAGACCAACAAGGACAGGAATCTAAAACTATCTTCCCCCCTTCTTGGATTTGGAGGTTTTAAAGTTTGGACTCCAAATAGTGGCATAACAGCAACTTAAAGAATTACTTGTGATCATCTGAATTACAGTGCTTTTTGATGTTATGATTTAATCAGACTGAATATCAATTGTTATAGCATAGTGAAAAGATTGTCAGGATGATTAGAATTCTGTGAGTGAGGTGGCTACTCTGCCTCCACTGAAAAGTTTAAATAAACAAAATGACATATTTGGCAGTTTAAATTTTCTGCTCAAGACACAGTAAGAAAACCAGGCAACTTCTATGATTTTCTTAAATAAACTTCAACTTGCAGCTCCATACAGCTGTTGTAACTGAAAACAGAGTATGATTCTGCAAAGCAATTGCTAAGTAATAACACAGATGCAATTCACAGCCTCTCTTATGTGAAAGTTAAGGTTGTGATTGTAAATGACAGGGTGCTGAGAACTGGAAGGGTGACATTTAAAGGAGTACCGCAAACCTGAAGTCCACTAATTCTTCCCTGCCAGCAGAAGTAGCCATTGCTCCCTTGTGTGATAAGGCTGGTCGTGACTTGTGTAGAGCCCACATAATAATGTCACCTAAAAGACTTACTATTTAAGGAAATGATTATTTTCTCTATGCCCCCACCCTTGACTGCCCCTCATTGCCTTCAACTCTATTATTATAATTGATCTCATCCGTCTCTAGGGTCCTAATTACAAAATCAAACCAGAGAGAAGAAGGTTTATACATAAATAGTAACAAAGTTTTGCAAATTTACTGTATTAGTCTGTTTTCACACTGCTACAAAGAACTTCCCTGAGACTGTGTAATTTATAAAGGAAAGGCTGCGGAGGCCTCAGGAAACTGACAATCATGCCACCTTCTTCACAAAGCAGCAGGAGCTAAAAGAAAGCCACTGAAAGAGGAACTGTCAACACTTGTAAAACCATCAGATCTCATGAGACTCACTCACTGTCATGAGAACAGCATGATGGAAGCCATTCCCATAATCAAATCACCTCCCACCAGGTTTCTCCCTTGACACATGCAGATTACAATTCAAGATGAGATTTGGGTGGGGACACAGAGCCAAAACCTATCATTTATATTGAAAAACACCTCAAGACACTTATGTCAGAATGGATTTTGAGTATTCTAGCTTAGAGACAAAGAAACACAATTTCGCTTCAGGAATTTATCATCATGAGAAATACTGGATTTGATGTTTTGGCTTGAGTAGCTAAGAGTAGTTCTAATTGTTTAATTACATTCAGTTGTTTTTTACTGTAACCTGAAGTCAATAATGGCCCACACTAAATAAAGGTGAAATGCCAGAAACTATCTCAATAATTAGGACAGGAGGGAGCTGTCAGAATTGTGAACAACTCATGCAGCTCTGGGGAAAGAACTCCAGAAGAGAGCAAACAGCAAGTGCTCAGCGAAGGCACTACACAGGAGCATAGCTTGGTGTTTTTGTGAACCCAGCAACAAGGTCAAGAAAACTGGAGCAGAATCAACAGGGGAAGATTAATAGAAAATGAGGCCAGAAATGTAGCCTGGGGACAGATCATGAAGGTCAAAAGAGGCTGTGGAGAGGACTTGAGGGTCTATAATTGTGGCAGAGATAAGAAACCATTGGAGGGATCAGAGAATAGCATGGTGAGCTGAATTGAACACATATACCACATTCCCCTAATATCCCAAATTATTAGACATAGAATAAAATATGTGCTTACAAAAATAAGAAACCTATAACATAAGGAAACAAGAAAGAGTGTCATCCATGTAATGGAAATTCTGTAAAAATTTTGCAAAAATAGAAATCAGACTGTATTAGTCTGTTCTCACCATGCTAACAAAGGCCTACCCGAGGCTAGGTAATTTATAAGGAAAAAGAGGTTTAATGGACTCACAGTTCCACTGACTGGGAAGGCTTCACAATCATTGCAGAAGGCAAAGGAGGAGCAAAGTCACGTCTACATGGTGGCAAGCAAGAGAGAGCTCGTGTAGGGGAACTCTCCTTTATAAAACTATCAGATCTTGTGACACTTATTCACTATCACAAGAACAGCATGGGTAAGATCCACCTCCATGATTCATTACTTCTCACCAGGTCCCTCCCATGACATGTAGGAATTACAGGAGATACAATTCAAGATGAGATTTGAATGAGGACACAGGGTCAGATTGACAAAGAAAACTATAGCCCAAGACACCTGCCAGAGGCAAGTGTGTAGGTAGATGAAATTGGAGGCAGAGGTTCTACAAGCAGAGAGTAGCAAGTAGGATGATCCCTACTACGTCCTGAGTTTGTACTGAGCAGCCAGCAGCAAAAAGGTTGATGCGCTTTCCCCACCCTGCACAAAACAGCAGCTAAGACTTGGTGGGAACACCTGGGTAATGCCGTCAATGCTAATGGAACACAAGCTCCTGCATTAGAAAAACAGGATACCCAGAATAGTAGCTCACCCTTCCTTAATAATCATCTGGAAGAGATTAGCATTTTAACTGAAGGTGTAAGTAAAGCAGATTGCCCTTCCCAGGGTGGGTGAGAATCAACCAATCTTTTGAGAGCCCAAATAGGGCAAAGGAGAGGAAGAAGTTTGAAACCTCTCTCTCTGCATTAGTCTTCTCCAGCCCTTGGACTGGGCTTTATACCATCCACAGTCCTGGTTCTCAGGCCTTCAGGCTCAGACTGAACTATATAGCACTGGGTTTCCTGGGTCTCCTGCTTGGAGATAGATGATCATGGGCCTTCTCAGCCTCATAATAATGTGAGCCAAGTCTTTATAATAAATCTGTGTGGGTGTGTGTGTGTGTGTGTGTGTGTGTGTGTGTACCTTGGATTCTGTTTCTCTGGTGAACTCTGACTAATATCTTTCACTGCGACACAGTCAACTAATTCAACAACTAGGAGAACTACATTTTGAAGAGAACATGTAATAGAACAAGTAGAACAAATTTAATAAATGTAATTGATAATTTCATATTTGGGAAAACAGCAAATCCATGAAAAAAAACAACTAGAGATCCTGGAAATTTAAAAATGATTTTCAAACTTTAAAAAAAAGTAATAAAAAAGAGAAAGAATGTATAGTTGGGCTGAATTACATAATTAACACAACTGAAGAATGAAATTAATGAGTTGGAGGACTGGGCTGCGGACTACTCCCAGAGCAAAACAGAAACAAGCAAGATAGATTGGGATGAAGAAAAAGTTAAATTAAATGACATAGAAGAGATATCTGGAATGCCCAGATTCTATCTAAAAAGAAGTCAAAAGAGAAGAATAGACATGTTGGAGAAGAAATAATTAAGTATCTTCCAGGAGAAAATTTCTCAGTGCTAAAAAGGATCTTTATCGCAAAGAATGTCAGACAATGGGAATTCAAAAGAAAGAGCCGTGTTCTGTAGTTAGAAAAAAGGCAAATGACATTTCAAAACCCCCAAAATAAAGGAAAAAGGTCATGAAAGCCTTTTCAAAAAACGGGAAATCAAATGGAGAAATTAGCCACTAAGAAAAAAGAAATAGACCATCATGGGCTATCTAACTGGTAGCACTGATTGCCAGAAGACAATGGGGAAATTGTATTACTTAAGGAAAATTATATGAGACTGAAATATTAGACAGTCAAGCTAACATTCAACCAGGAAGGAATAATAAAGACTATTTCAGATTTCTGAAGACTCAGAAAGTTACCCAATCACAGAGCATCTATAAAAGAAATATTTAGGATACACTCCAGCAAAAATAGAAACAGGAAAAAGAGAATAATTTAGGCTTAAGCAAAAAATGGTAACAAATAAACCAGTAAAACCTATAGTTAGGTCTAAATAATTATTGATGCATAGTGAAAATATAAATATTCTGAACAAAAATAAATAACCCTGGGAATAGGTTAGTCTGTAGAAATCATTGAGAAGAGCCTAGAGAAGAGGGAATAGTTGACTCCAAAGAATGGAAATGCTTGGAACATTGCCAAGCGTGGAGGTAAGTGAATCCCTTCTAGGAGAAAGCAGACCTGAAGCTACATAGAAAGATGCCGTGCTAAGGAATTTGGATGTCAAATTTGCACCTGCAGGTTTAGTGTCTCCATTTATGGCACCTCTGAACCATAGTTTTGTTGACCCAAGCCTTAACCAAAGCCTTGTTAAAAATCATAGTTGTGGTCTCAGTTTTGCTGAAGGGAGTTAGGAATTACCTTCTGCCCTCTACATGGCTAACAAAGAGTGAGAAAGGCAGAGAGAGAAAGAGAGACAAAATCGGCCATATTACAAGCTTCAGAAGCAACATATTAAGTTGAAGGGACCAGAAAGACATATCTGAGAAATTTGTTGCAGGACACACACTAAATTTCAGACATTACCAGCTATAAAGAGGGGCTAATTTCCAGCAACTTGGTGGGGAATTATACTGAAAAAAAAGTTACTATAAGGAAGTCGAACCTATTTTGTGGCCACATACTGGTAACCTTTATGGGCTACAGGAAGAAATTTTATCCTAGTCCTAGCTTAATTATTCAGGAAGCCACAAATGCCACTGAGAACATAAGATGCTCTCAGAAAAATGAAACTATAATTTCTGCATTCTGTGGCTCAATTAGAGACACCATTAAGTCAGGTGAAAGCAGATTCTTATCAATCTGAAGCTGCCATGAGACCCCAAGCATCCCTACTTTCTTGGACCTACATAAATCTAATTACATGCTGACAACATGGGTAACACAAGACTCCCCACTGCCCATCAAAGAAAGGACATGTTGAAATTCTGCTCAGATTACAATCTCAGTTACAGGGCAAAGAGCTAAAACCTAGAGAAATTAAGAATCATTGGGCTCTTAGCAATCATGTAGCCTAACCACGTGTTCTTCCACTGAAGAAAGTGAAGCTCAGAGGATTACAGTGATTTTCCTAAGGACTGACATCTAGAAAGTAAGAAGTAATAAATAACAATTAAAATGTTTAGCTTACTGTATTATTAAATCTGTAAAAAAAAAAAAAAAGAATATGTAATCCCATGTCACCCAAGCAAACAAAAATCAAATGATTTCCCCATCTGCTGTCTTTTTTTTTTTTCCATTTTTAGGTTTTTGTTTTATCTTCTTTGTTGGATTTTTTAAGCCATAATATTTTGTATAATTATTAGTGATTTCTCTAGAGATTACAATATGCACCCTTAAACACATTTTATCATGAATACTATACCACCTCATGTATAATCTGATAATCTTTACACAGTGAATTCCCATTCCCCACTTTTCACTATTATTACTAGACATTTTACTTCTCCCTAAGTTAGAAACTCCACAATACACTGTTACCAATATCTGCTGTAAACAGCCAATTATTTTTCAAATAAATTGAGAAATGAGAACATTCATTAATGTGTACCCACATATTTACCATTCTGATTTCACTTCACCCATTCATGTAGGTCCAAATATCCTCTTGTATTATTTTCCTTCAGCCTGAGAGCTTCTTTAAACATTTTTTGCAGCGTAAGCCTCTGGTGACAAGTTCTCTCAGCTTTTGTTTATTTGAAAACATTTTTATTTTACCTCCAATTTTAAAAAAAAAAGTTTGATGAACATAGAACACAAGACATTTTTTCTTTTTTTTTTTTTTTAATTTTTTTTTTATTATTATCTAAGTTTTAGGGTACATGTGCACATTGTAAGACATTTTTTCTTCTTTCAGCATTTTAAAGTGTCATTCCATGGCTTTTTGGCTTGCATTATTTCTGACAAGTCAAAGGGATTTTTAACATTGACCCTCTATAGGAAATACATCTTTTTTCCCTCTAGCTGCTATTTTCTTGTTATCCTTGGTTTTCATATGTTTTACTGATTTCATGTGTGTACCTACTTATGGCATTTTTGTGTTTACACTGATTAGGGTTGCTATTTTTCTTTAAATTTGGAAGTTTTTAAGTCATTATTTTCTCAATTTTTTCCTGAATAATCTCTGTCTTCTGTCCTTCTGAGATAAAATTCTACAAATGTTATGACACCTGATGTTGTCTCACTTGATGTTGGTTCAGTTCACTTCAATTTATATTGTTTTTCCCTCAGTGCTTCAAGTTCTACTGTCTTATCTTCATTATCACTGGAATTTCCTTATAAAGGCTAATCTTCTGATAAGCCCATCAGTGAAACTTTTATTTCAGATACTGTATTTTTTAATTCTAAAACTGAAAATCCCTACGTGGTTTGTTTTTACTTCTACTGAGATTCCTCATTGTGTGAATGTTTTTCTTTATATCCTTGAACATAATTATATTCATTATCTAGAAGTTTTTGTTTACTAATTCCTTCATCTATCATTTCTAAGTCTGTTTCTATTGAGTTATTTTTCCTGATTATGGGTAACACATTGCTATTTTTTTAAAGTACAGATTGGACAAATTGAAAACAACTAGAAAAATGATAGACAAACCTAACCATAGCAAGAATTACATTAAAATAAACAGAACAAAGTCTCCACTTGAACTTAGAATATAGAAATTTACAAGAGAATATCTCTCCCTTACAATGAAAAAAAATCAAACAATTCACAAAATCATATATTTTATTCAACCCATCAGGGAACTGAGGTCATAATGCAACTTTTAAATTCCAAAGGCTTAGAAGGCCCTCTGTGATGGATGATATTGAGTGTCAACTGGATTGGATTGAAGGATGCAAAGTATTGTTCCTGGGTGTGTCTATGAGGATGTTGCCAAAGGAGATTAACATTTGAGTCAGTGGGCTGGGGAAGGCAGACCCACCCTTAATCTGGTAGGCACAATCTAATCAGCTGCCAGTGAATATAAAACAGGCAGAAAAGCATGAAGAAGCAAGACTGGCCTAGCCTCCCAGCCTACATCTTTCTCCTGTGCCAGAGGCTTCCTGCCTTCAAACATCAGGTTCCAAGTTCTTCAGTTTGAGACTTGGACTGGCCCTCCTTACTTCACAAGCAACTGGTACTGAAAACCTGTTATATCCCAGAAACTGTTTGAGGAACTTCTGCTGCAAGAGTGAAATAAAATGTCAAAAACCCATGTTTTCCTCATCTCCCAAGGTTTTATTCTAGTGGAGACAGACAATAAATAATACATACAATTTTAAAGTAGATAAATAATAAAATGTATAAGCATATAGAAGTAAGTAAATACAGAGTGTATTAGAGATTGACAAATGCTATCAGGGAATAGTGGGCAGAATAAGGAAGATGAGGAGTGCAAAAGATCGGCAATGAAATAGATTGGAATTGCCAACAAGAAAAATAGGATTACCTCATTGAAAAGGTAACATTTAGGGCCAGGCCCAGTGGCTCATGCCTGTAATTCCAGCACTTTGGGAGGCCGAGGCAGGCAGATCACTTGAAGCCACGAGTTCAAGACCAGCCTGGACAACATGGGGAAACCCCACCTCTACTAAAACTACAAAAAATAGCCAGGCATGGTGGTGTGCCTGCAGTCCCAGCCACTCAAGAGGCTGAGACAGGAGAATCACTTGAACCTGGGAGGCAGAGGTTGCAGTGAGCCGAGAGTGCGCCACTGCACTCCAGCCTGGGTGACCAAGCGAGACTCTGTCTCAAAAATAAAAATAAAAAAATAAAGAAAAGGTAAAATTTAAGCAAAGACTTACAGAAGATCTAAGGGATGACCATTCCAGACAGAATGAGGAATTATTGCAAATACCCTAAATTATGATGGACCTTGTATGTTTGAGAAACAGCGTGAAGGCCAGAAATGGCTCAAAGAGAATGTGTAAGAGAGAAAATTATAGGAGATAATACACCTGAAACAGGAAGCAAGTCATGTAGGGCCTTTAAGTCTTGAAAGGATTTAAGAATAAGAGTAATATGATCTGGATTATGTTGTTAAAAAGCCATTCTGATTAATTCATTATAGAAATATACATGTATTTTTATGTGCATAATATATTTAAATATTGTTTCATGTATTAACAATACAATAATGTATAACATTATACACACATTTTTATCTTTTATATTGAAAGATACTGCTGACTATATATCTCCTTGTCTTTCATCTTCAACTCAATATAAATAAGATCTCTATCGAGGGTCAGCCAAGATGGCTGAATAGGAACAGCTCTGGTCTACAGCTCCCAGCGTGAGCAACACAGAAGACGGGTGATTTCTACATTTCCATCTGAGGTACCGGGTTCATCTCACTAGGGAGTGCTAGACAGTGGGTGCAGGACAGTGGGTGCACTGCACCATGCATGAGCCAAAGCAGGGCGAGGCGTTGCCTCACTCGGGAAGTGCAAGGGGTCAGGGAGTTCCCTTTCCTAGTCAAAGAAAGGGGTGACAGATGGCACCTGGAAAATTCGGTCACTCCTACCCTAATACTGCGCTGTTGTGACGGGCTTAAAAGACGGCACACCAGGAGATTATATCCCGCACATGGCTCGGAGGGTCCTACACCCACGGAGTCTTGCTGATTGCTAGCACAGCAGTCTGAGATCAAACTGCAAGGTGGCAGCGAGGCTAGGGGAGGGGCGCCCGCCATTGCCCAGGCTTGCTTAGGTAAACAAAGCAGCTGGGAAGCTCGAACTGGGTGGAGCCCACCACAGCTCAAGGAGGCCTGCCTGCCTCTCTAGGCTCCACCTCTGGGGGCAGGGCACAGACAAACAAAAAGATAGCAGTAACCTCTGCAGACTTAAATGTCCCTGTCTGACAGCTTTGAAGAGAGCAGTGGTTCTCCCAGCACACAACTGGAGATCTGATAACGGGCAGACTGCCTCCTCAAGTGGGTCCCTGACCCCTGACCCCCGAGTAGCCTAACTGGGAGGCATCCCCCAGTAGGGGCAGACTGACACCTCACACAGCCAGGCACTCCTCTGAGACAAAACTTCCAGAGGAACGATCAGACAGCAGCACTTGTGGTTCACAAAAATCTGCTGTTCTGCAGCCACCGCTGCTGATACCCAGGCAAACAGAGTCTGGAGTGGACCTCTAGCAAACTCCAACAGACCTGCAGCTGAGGGTCCTGTCTGTTAGAAGGAAAACTAACAAACAGAAAGGACATCGACACCAAAAACCCACCTGTACATCACCATCATCAAAGACCGAAAGTAGATAAAATCACAAAGATGGGGAAAAAACAGAGCAGAAAACCTGGAAACTCTAAAAAGCAGAGTGCCTCCCCTCCTCCAAAGGAATGCAGTTCCTCACCAGCAACGGAACAAAGCTGGATGGAGAATGACTTTGACGAGTTGAGAGAAGAAGGCTTCAGATGATCAAACTACGCCGAGCTACAGGAGGAAATTCAAACTAAAGGCAAAGAAGTTTAAAACTTTGAAAAAAATTTAGAAGAATGTATAACTAGAATAATCAATAAGAGAAGTGCTTAAAGGAGCTGATGGAGCTGAAAGCCAAGGCTCCAGAACTATGTGAAGAATGCAGAAGCCTCAGGAGCCGATGCGATCAACTGGAAGAAAGGGTATCAGTGATGGAAGATGAAATGAATGAAATGAAGTGAGAAGGGAAGTTTAGAGAAAAAAGAATAAAAAGAAATGAACAAAGCCTCCAAGAAATATGGGACTCTGTGAAAAGACCAAATCTACATCCTGATTGGTGTACCTGAAAGTGACGGACAGAATGGAACCAAGTTGGAAAACACTCTGCAGGATATTATCCAGGAGAACTTCCCCAATCTAGCAAGGCAGGCCAACATTCAGATTCAGGAAATACAGAGAATGCCACAAAGATACTCCTCGAGAAGAGCAACTCCAAGACACATAATTGTCAGATTCACCAAAGTTGAAATGAAGGAAAAAATGTTAAGGGCAGCCAGAGAGAAAGGTCGGGTTACCCACAAAGGGAAGCCCATCAGACTACCAGCAGATCTCTTGGTAGAAACTCTACAAGCCAGAAGAGAGTGGGGGCCAATATTCAACATTCTTAAAGAAAAGAATTTTCAACCCAGAATTTCATATCCAGCCAAACTAAGCTTCATAAGTGAAGGAGAAATAAAATACTTTACAGACAAGCAAATGCTGAGAGATTTTGTCACCACCAGGCCTGCCCTACAAGAGCTCCTGAAGGAAGCACTAAACATGGAAAGGAACAACTGGTACCAGCCACTGCAAAATCATGCCAAATTGTAAAGACCATCGAGGCTAGGAAGAAACTGCATCAACTAACCAGCAAAATAACCAGCTAACATCATAATGACAGGATCAAATTCACACATAACAATATTAACTTTAAATGTAAATGGACTAAATGCTCCAATTAAAAGACACAGACTGGCAAATTGGATAAAGAGTCAGGACCCATCAGTGTGTTGTATTCAGGAAACCCATCTCACGTGCAGAGACACACATAGGCTCAAAATAAAAGGATGGAGGAAGATCTACCAAGCAAATGGAAAACAAAAAAAGGCATGGGTTGCAATCCTAGTCTCTGATAAAACAGACTTTAAACCAACACAGATCAAAAGAGACAAAGAAGGCCATTACATAATGGTAAAGGGATCAATTCAACAAGAAGAGCTAACTATCCTAAATATATATGCACCCAATACAGGAGCACCCAGATTCATAAAGCAAGTCCTGAGTGACCTACAAAGAGACTTAGACTCCCACACAATAATAATGGGAGACTTTAACACCCCACTGTCAACATTAGACAGATTAACGAGACAGAAAGTTAACAAGGATACCCAGGAATTGAACTCAGCTCTACACCAAGCGGACCAAATAGACATCTACAGAACTCTCCAACCCAAATCAACAGAATATACATTTTTTTCAGCACCACACCACACCTATTCCAAAATTGACCACATACTTTGAAGTAAAGCTCTCCTCAGCAAATGTAAAAGAACAGAAATTATAACAAACTGTCTCTCAGACCACAGTGCAATCAAACTAGAACTCAGGATTAAGAAACTCACTCAAAACCGCTCAACTACATGGAAACTGAACAGCCTGCTCCTGAATGACTACGGGGTACATAATGAAATGAAGGCAGAAATAAAGATGTTCTTTGAAACCAACGAGAACAAAGACAACATACCAGAATCTCTGGGACACATTCAAAGCAGTGTGTAGAGGGAAATTTATAGCACTAAATGCCCACAAGAGAAGGCAGGAAAGATCCAAAATTGACACCCTAACATCACAATTAAAAGAACTAGAGAAGCAAGAGCAAACACATTCAAAAGCTAGCAGAAGACAAGAAATAACTAAAATCAGAGCAGAACTGAAGGAAATAGAGACACAAAAAACCCTTCAAAAAATTAATGAATCCAGGAGCTGGTTTTTTGAAAGGATCAACAAAGTTGATAGACCACTAGCTAGACTAATAAAGAAGAAAAGAGAGAAGAATCAAATAGACACAATAAAAAATGATAAAGGGGTTATCACCACCGATCCCACAGAAATACAAACTACCATCAGAGAATACTACAAACACCTCTACGCAAATAAACTAGAAAATCCAGAAGAAATGGATAAATTCCTCGACACATACACCCTCCCAAGACTAAACCAGGAAGAAGTTGAATCTCTGAATAGATCAATAACAGGTTCCGAAATTGTGGCAATAATCAATAGCCTACCAACCAAAAAGAGTCCAGGACCAGATAGATTCACAGCAAAATTCTACCAGAGGTAAAAGGAGGAGCTGGTACCATTCCTTCTGAAACTATTCCAATCAATAGAAAAAGAGGGAATCCTCCCTAACTCATTTTATGAGGCCAGCATCATCCTGATACCAAAGCCTGGCAGAGACACAACCAAAAAACAGAATTTTAGACCAATATCCTTGATGAACATTGATGCGAAAATTCTCAATAAAATACTGGCAAACCAAATCCAGCAGCACATCAAAAACCTTATCCACCATGATCAAGTGAGCTTCATCCCTGGGATGCAAGGCTGGTTCAATATACGCAAATCAATAAATGTAATCCAGCATATAAACAGAGCCAAAGACAAAAACCACATGATTATCTCAATAGATGCAGAAAAGGCCTTTGACAAAATTCAACAGCCCTTCATGCTAAAAACTCTCAATAAGTTAGGTGTTGATGGGACCTATCTCAAAATAATAAGAGCTATCTATGACAAACCCACAGCCAATATCATACTGAATGGGCAAAAACAGGAAGCATTCCCTTTGAAAACTGGCACAAGACAGGGATGCCCTCTCTCACCACTCCTATTCAACATAGTGTTGGAAGTTCTGGCCAGGGCAATCAGGCAGGAGAAGGAAATAAAGGGTATTCAATTAGGAAAAGAGGAAGTCCAATTGTCCCTGTTTGCAGATGACATGATTGTATATCTAGAAAACCCCATTTTCTCAGCCCAAAAATCTCCTTAAGCTGATAAGCAACTTCAGCGAAGTCTCAGGATACAAAATCAATGTACAAAAATCACAAGCATTCTTATACACCAATAACAGACAGAAAGCCAAATCATGAGTGAACTCCCATTCACAATTGCTTCAAAGAGAATAAAATACCTAGGAATCCAACTTACAAGGGACGTGAAGGACCTCTTCAAGGAGAACTACAAACCACTGCTCAATGAAATAAAAGAGGATATCAACAAATGGAAGAACATTCCATGCTCATGGGCAGGAAGTATCAATATCTTGAAAATGGCCATACTGCCCAAGGTAATTTATAGATTCAATGCCATCCCCATCAAGCTACCAATGACTTTCTTCACAGAATTGGAAAAAACTACTTTAAAGTTCATATGGAACCAAAAAAGAGCCCGCATCGCCAAGTCAATCCTAAGCCAAAAGAACAAAGCTGGAGGCATCACGCTACCTGACTTCAAACTATACTACAAGGCTACAGTAACCAAAACAGTATGGTACTGGTACTAAAACAGAGATATAGATCAATGGAACAGAACAGAGCCCTCAGAATTAACGCTGCATATCTACAACCATCTGATCTTTGACAAACATGAGAAAAACAAGCAATGGGGAAAGGATTCCCTATTTAATAAATGGTGCTGGGAAAACTGGCTAGCCATATGTAGAAAGCTGAAACTGGATCCCTTCCTTACACCTTGTACAAAAATTAATTCAAGGTGGATTAAAGACTTACATGTTAGACCTAAAACCATAAAAACCCTAGAAGAAAACCTAGGCATTACCATTCAGGACATAGGCATGGGCAAGGACTTCATGTCTAAAGCACTAAAAGCAATAGCAACAAAAGCCAAAATTGACAAATGGGATCTGATTAAACTAAAGAGCTTCTGCACAGCAAAAGAAACTACCATCAGAGTGAACAGGCAACCTACAGAATGGGAGAAAATTTTTGCAACCTATTCATCTGACAAAGGGCTAATATCCAGAATCTACAATGAACTCCAACGCATTTACAAGAAAAAAACAAACAACCCATCAAAAAGTGGGCAAAGGACATGAACAGACACTTCTCAAAAGAAGACACTTATGCGGCCAAAAAACACATGAAAAAATGCTCACCATCACTGGCCATCAGAGAAATGCAAATCAAAACCACAATGAGATACCATCTCACACCAGTTAGAATGGCAATCATTAAAAAGTCAGGAAACAACAGGTGCTGGAGAGGATGTGGAGAAATAGGAACACTTTTACACTGTAGGTGGGACTGTAAACTAGTTCAACCATTGAGGAAGTTAGTGTGGCGATTCCTCAGGGATCTAGAACTAGAAATACCATTTGACCCAGCCATCCCATTACTGGGTATATACCCAAAGGATTATAAATCATGCTGCTATAAAGACACATGCACACGTATGTTTATTGTGGCACTATTCACAATAGCAAAGAATTGGAACCAACCCAAATGTCCAACAATGATAGACTGGATTACGAAAATGTGGCACATACATACCACGGAATACTATGCAGCCATAAAAAATGATGAGTTCATGTCCTTTGTAGGGACATGGATGAAATTGGAAATCATCATTCTCAGTAAACTATCTCAAGGACAAAAAAACCAAACACCACATGTTCTCACTCATAGGTGGGAATTGAACAATGAGAACACATGGACACAGGAAGGGGAACATCACACTCGGGGGACTGTTGTGGGGTGGGGGGAGGGGGGAGGGATAGCATTAGGAGATATACCTAATGCTAAATGACGAGTTAATGGGTGCACCACACCAACATGGCACATGCATACATATGTAACTCACCTACACATTGTGCACATGTACCCTAAAACTTAAAGTATAATAATAATAAAATTTAAAAAAAATAAGATCTCTATTATGAACTCAACAAATATTTAATATTCACTAGGTGTGTGGCACTGTTCATGGTTCTGAAGTTCCTGAACAAAGAAGTCTGAAAAGTTTGTTTCAAGATTAAGAAATAAGTCTATAAATAAGCAGTAACATAATAAATCATAATACATAGTGTGGGGAAAAGTAAGAGGCAGATGAGACAGAGAGTCACTCGATGGCTGCTTTAGAGGGGAAAGTTGGAAAAGTCATTCTGCAGAAATAGCAACTAAGCTAAGACCCAACAAGCTAATGATGTAATTGTCAAAGGAAGAGAATACTCAGCAGAGGATATTGCTAGCTGAAATATCTTAAAGTAAGAAAAATAAGCTTACCCTGGTGTAGTAACTCAGACATTGCAGTGTGCTAGATCATAGGGGTTACGGGAAAACTGGATACTGGGCAATATAAAAGGTGTCAGCCCAGGTGGTGGTTTGAACTAGGATGATAGCAACAGAGACTGTGTTAACTAATTGAGTTCAGGTTAGGACTTGGTGGAACTGAGAAAGAGAGGTCTAAGGCTTTTATATTGACTGAGTCATCCATGCCTTTTGAAAGTCTTTTCTACGTCTTCCCGGAAAGAAGATGGTTTGCAAACCTATGGAATCTTTATGTGTTTATTTGGTAAATATCTTTGTCTAAGTTGTCATTTGAAATTCCATGTAGCTGCCTTTCATGAGCACTAAAAGCTCACTAGAAAAACTCCAGATATAGCATATAGTTTTTAAATAAAGCAGATTCTTTTCTTCTTGCCTCTGAAACTGGGACATCATGCCCTAGGTTTGTGTGCCAGGTCAATGGCATCAAAAGTAAAACAGTAAAGGTAAGTCCAGCCTAATGAAAGTAAAGCAAGATAAAAGCAGAACACTGCAGAGGCTCAATTTTTCCAGTAGCACTAAAATATAAATGATTTTGTGTAAGTGATCGTTCCAGCTCTAATTGAACTACACAACCAGAAGTCTCAAAGAAAGCAGCTCTATTTAGGTTAGACTTACTTGACTGTCTTATTTAACAGAGCATGGGTTTTGGAGTCATTTGATGTAAACATGAATGCTATCTCTTCTTTATGTGTCCATCAACACTCAATTTCTCTAAACCTCTATTTCCTCACTTACAAAGAAAATAATCTACTTTATGCATTGGTTGTAAGAAATAAGCTAGTTTGTAAATAACCTGTCATAAAATGTAAATACTCTGTGATGGCCAGTTACTATTTTGTAATGTCTTCTCTAGAGTAAAAATGTGCTATCAAGTTGTAGGCAATATAAATAATTCAGCTAGAATATTATGCAATGGAGAATTTTTTCAACAGCTAGTAGGCTAAAGTAAATCACAGAAAAGCCCCCTACCAAAAGTTCTCTTGGTTGGAAAAACCCATACTTTCTATGGTTTGAACATTTATGTTTCCCCAAAATTCATATACTGAATTTCTAACTCCCACGCTATTAAGAGGTGGGGCCTTTTGGAAGGTGATTAGGTCACAATGGTGGAGCATTCATGAATAAAATTAGTGCCCTTATAAGAGAGACCCGAGAGACAACTATCCCTTTCCACCATGTGAGAACACAAGAAGAAGATATCATCTATGAAGCAGGAAATGGGCCCCCCAGCAGACAATGAATCTGTCAGTGTCTTCATCTTGGACTTCCCAGCCTCTAGAACTGTGGGAAATACCTGTTGTTTATAAGCCACCCAGTTTAAGGTCATTTGTCATAGCAGCCCAATCCAACTAAGATAGCATCCTAATAAGAATAGTGACTGTCTCATTTACTATTATGCATAAGGGTTGCTGATGACTTAGTATTAACGTTTCCAGAAACTAAGACCACCTCCCAGAGAGAAGAGATGGTGGATTTGGGATATTTCCTACTATGTAGTTCTTCAACTTCTTTCTTCCCTTTTAATACTTCCTATAGTTGAGACACAACAAAAGCATAAAATACTGATATGATAAATGTAATAGACTAACTGATCATAGAAGCAACAGGAGTAGGGGAGATGGAGAGAATAGTGATAGTGACACTGAATATATTGAATACAAGGCATGAGCTGCAAGCTATTCGGTTGGTGCAAAAGTAATGGCAAAAGCCGAAATTATTTTTGTACCAACTTAATATATCATTTTAATCCTTCCACCAAATCCTTGAGGAGGAGCCCATTTCCCATATTGCACACTGGGGTTAGATAGTGTGTCCAAGGTCATACAGCTGTGAGAAGGCAGAGCTGGGATTTGGACCCAAATTTATCTGACTCCAAATTCATGTGATTTCCACTATATCAAGACAAAAAACCAGCCATCCTGGGCAGTTTCACAGAAAGACAACCAGCAGCCTCAAGGGTGGGTGTGAATAAACAAAATTTAAGTGAATGTAAGATAACTATTTTGCATGAGCTGCTTTTTTTTTTGTTTTGTATTAGATAGTCCTTCCATTGCATGTTATATGACCCAACACTGTCATCCCTGTTCTCCCTCCTGACCTGTCACCTGATCACTGAGCAACTCAGCCCTGGCTGTCCCCATAGAGGAGACCCTCAAGCACCCAGAACCGGGAACATTGGTTTCTCTTTTCCCCCACCCACCCCAAACCCACACCCAGTCTGGTTGAGGTCGGTAGACTTAGCAGTCTTACTCCAAACCTTTTTCTTCCTAGCTCTTCCCATGTGACCACTCAACTCTGACCTACAAACCAACAGCTCAGGCAGAGAGGCAGCTTCTCATAAAATGCAGAAAGAAGGATGACAACTTTTCCAAAGGAAATACTCAGTGGAAAAAGCACAAGAGCCCCAGGAGAGCAAAGGATGCTTTCTCTATCAAAACCCTAGAACATTGATTAATGATATTCTAGGAGATGCAGTCACCTTGTGACATCTGAAATACTGTTGTGCATTTAGTTTGAACTGTGTAGAGACCTCAGCTCCCTCCTGAGACATATTTACTGCCCAATCTTCTTTCTGACAAAAGATTCACTTTCCAGAAAATCGTACCTCGTATTATTATCATTAGCTCATTTTAAAGTTATGCGGGGTTTGTCTAGAGGAAATTTAATTGGTGAGAGGCTACTCCAAGCCCCTTTAGACTCATACATCAAAGCTTTATCCAACAAGCACTCTTAGTCACAATATCATGTTAAGGGATGAAAAAAGAAAGAAAACAATAATTTAGTGCTTTTAATAATTTCTAAAGATGATTCAATTCCAAAATTGTTATACTTCTAGAGAACAAGTTACAAATAACATTGCCTCCTCCCCTGATAAAATCTTATATTTGAATCACCACTTTTCATTTTCCAAAGTGCTTTCATACCCATTGTATGATTTTATGTTCAAAACCATAAAATGGGGGGGGGCGAAATAATATTATCCCTGATTTAGATCAGAAAACTGAGACAAGAGCCACTATGTGATATTTCTTTATTTTTTTATTATACTTTAAGTTCTAGGGTACATGTGCACAACATGCAGGCTTGTTACATATGTATACATGTGCCATGTTGGTGTGCTGCACCCATTAACTCGTCATTTACATTAGGTATTATCTCCTAATGCTATCCCTCCCCCCTCCCCCCCACCCCATGACAGGCCCCAGTGTGTGATGTTCCCCACCCTGTATCCAAGTGTTCTCATTGTTCATTTCCCACCTATGAGTGAGAACATGCAGTATTTCGTTTTCTGTCCTTATGATAGTTTGCTCAGAATAATGGTTTCCAGCTTCATCCATGTCTCTACAAAGGACATGACCCCATCCTTTTTTATGGCTGCATAGTATTCCATGGTGTATACATGCCACAATTTCTTAATCCAGTCTATGTCTTTGCTATTGTGAATAGGCACTATGTGATATTTCTAAATCCATTTGACTGGTTATTGGCAGAGCTAAGCTATTGTAACTTCTGAAATTATTTTCTCTTAGATTACTTATTATTCCCATCATTTTTATTTCCATTTATATAAAAGGGCACCACTCAGCATTTATTCAACACATATTTATTGAGCACCAATTATCTGATTGTTGAGGATTTAGGAGGAACGGATATATTGATGAAGACATATTTCTCCAGTTGCATGAAGCATACTTTCTAGTGAATAAAAAAAAAATAAAACAAAGAAAGGGAAGAAGAAAGTTCTAAGTGCTCTGACAAAGGTGACACGTGGGACAATCACTGGGGACTGTTTTCTCTCTGGGTAGTCAAGGTACCAGCATCCTCACAGATTCCCGGGTTTGTAACCTCAAGTCTTTCCTCCCTTATCAATCACATCCTATTTGTTGTTGTGCCATATCCTGTCAGCGTATTTATAACTCCTTGATGTCTTATGTGTTCTCCTCTCCTCCAGTCCCACAATGGCTTCCCTGACTCCTTAGCCTCTGTCAGGTGGGCTTTCCAAAACTTACCCAGCTGGTCTTTTGATCTTCAGTCTCTCCTTTCCAGTGCACCTTGTCCATTCCTATTGACCTTTGTATCAGGTTGTTTCATATTACATTAAAAGTAATGCCAAACCCCACAATTACCTTTGCATCAACCTAATAAAAACTCCTGTTGAATGCCATGGAAAGCAGGGGAGACTTTATCCCAGCATTTAAGATTCTACCCAATCTAATCCAAACTTCTCTCCAAATTCTTTTCATTAGCCAGCTACAGCGGCTCATACCTGTAATCCCAGCACTTTGGGAGGCTGAGGCAGGTGGATCATCTGAGGTCAGGAGTTCAAGACCAGTATGACCAACATGGTGAAACCCTGTCTTTACTAAAAACACAAAAATTAGGCTGGCATGGTGGAACACACCTGTAATCCCAGCTACTTGGGAGACTGAGACAGGATCATTGCTTGAACCCAGGAGACAGAGGTTGCAGGGAGCTGAGATCACACCACTGCACTCCAGCCTGGGTGACAGAGTGAGACTCCATCTCAAAAAAAAAAAATCATTTTATTCTCAGCAAATGAAACCATTCACCATTCTTAATGTTATATTTGTAGTTTTCTACTTTTGCATCATATTCCTCTCACTCCCTCCATTTAAAATCCCCCATCCTTTCCTAGCCAGTTTCTAAGGCATGCCTCTTTTCTGGGGCTAGCTCCACAGATACCTCCTGCATGAATGAATGAACAAATGCACAAAGAAACTGAAGTGACTCTGGTATCTCCCCTGCTCTGCTCTTGTCATCTACTTAGACTTTCACCAATTAGCAGGGCTTTGTCTCTGATACAGCCTCTTGCTTCTCTAAGTGAGGACAATTTTCCCTACTCCTCCACTAGCACGTGGGCTAATTTGGTTCTGTGACATCCCTTATGAACGTCAGTCAGCTTGTCAGCTGTAGGTCTCTGCTCTTCTGCCTTCCTGTCCCCTAAAGCCAAATCCATTGACCCCAAGATCATCTGCCAGCTGATGGCATCTGCTCTCTAGGAATAGGCTCCAAGTTCAGACCTTTCCTGACAGTGCTTTGGGGTCCCCATAAAACTCAAGTAGATCTCTAAATTCATGTCCTTTCAGAGCCTACTGTGATACATTTATTTCCCTTGTAAGGTTCAGCAAAAAGGCTGTCAAGAGCACATGAATGAAAGGAACGGGGAAGCATGATGCATAGTTTCTATAAGAAATCAATGGCTACTAAAGATATCCCACATGAAATACCCTGAATGAAGCATTTTTAGTCTCAGGGAGAAGCCTTTGGGGAGCTCATAGGGCTTTGGCTGTCACGTCTCATGGGAACTGTTCCTAGAGTAGAAAATTATTTTTCTTTCAGGCAATGACTTTGCTTAAATCATGCACCGAAGCTAACATTTAGGTGTTCTTCTCTCAGGTAGGTTTATGCTTAGATCTTTATAATGCTGTATTCATATAGCCATTGATGTGAGAAGACCCAAGAGGAAAGATTTAGTGTCAAATGGCTGAAAATTTCATGCTTATACTTCAGTGGTTATAGGAGGCTGCAGAATGTCACTGGATGCTGAGAACTCACAAGGAGAAAGAGAGGAACATCCTGTCACAAACACATATGGATTGAGGGACACTTTATGATGTCAGGCAGATTCTTCTTCCGATTTTCATAGTGGGAAGAAGGAATTGTTGGTGTAACTACAGATTTACGAGATCCTGGTTTCCATCTACAAGACCTTCCATTTCCCTAATTAACTCTTGCTCTGAGTCTCCACAGTGGCTGTTTCAAAACCTATCTGTTCTCATGAAACCATCTAAGCAGCTCATCTATCCCCTCCACTCTCAGTACTCATCTTCCACTTCACTGAGAAAATTGGAGCTGTTAGGCAAGAATGCCCTCACCTGCATCCATTTTTACCCTTGTCTTCCTGTTTTTGTTACAAGAGTTAACCTGTTCCCTAATGTTCACATCTCCTTCTCCACCTCCTGTCCTCCAGATCTCATCCCCCCTTTGGAGAATGGTCCTTGATCAAATATCTTTAAACCTCTCCCTCTATGGTTTCTTCTATCAACATGGGAAGAATATACTCAGGTCTCATACATGTTGAAAAACTAAGTAAATTAAAACCTCTTTGGTTCTCTCTCTTCACAACCAGGCTTCTTAAATGAGCCATCTACACTCACTGTTTTATTTTCTCCTTCCAGTCATTCTTCATCTCATTGAAATCTGCTTTTTCCCCCTTTACTCCATTGAAACTGCTGATGCTAAGATTTACCATAGGTCTGATTTTTTTTGTCCTGTACATTATCTTTGAATAACTGCGTGATCTCACTGCTTCAATTATCACCCACTGTGATGGCACAGAGGCCTGAACATCTCTAATGTAGACCTCCCTTCTAGGCTCCAGACCTGTGTACCTACCTACTTCCTGGACATGGATGTGCCACTTTCACATGTACAAAACTAAACTTGGCAACCCCTCTCACTCCAATTCCCCATTAAAATGGCTATTTTGTCACTCCTCTCATTAAATGACACTGCACTCACCCTTATTGCCCAAGCAATAGAACTGGGAATCATCTTTGCCTTCTTTCTTTCTCTTTTACTAATTCCACTGCCATAGACTATCACCAAAGCTTGTTGAGTCAGCTCCTGAGGTTATGTAGAATTTATCCAAGTGACACAATATAATATCCCAAGCAGGATCTGCTTCAGGGCTCCATAATAAAACACATTAATATTTCTGCAATATAAGAAAATACACAATAAGTGGGATATGTAAGGATCCATAAAGCAGACCTGCACAACAAGAAATGCTAAGGAACACTCTTCAGTCTGAAAGCAAATAACAGATGGAATTATGAATCTTCACCAAAAAATAAAACGCATCAGAGGCTTTAAATATCTGATAAAAAAAAGATCATTTTCCTGTTCGTTTTTTAAAAATACATACGATTCCTTAAAGCAAGATGATAATATCATCTTGTTGCTTTTATAATACATATTCAATACCTGTAATAACAATAGCATAAAGGCATGGCAAAGGGGATAAACAGACCTTACAATTGCAAGTTTATATATTTTATGGGAATTGGTACAACATTAACTCTGAGTAGAATATGAAAAACTAAGAATTGCATTTTAATCCCACAGCAATGACACACAATATAATGCAAATAAGAACAGTTTAAAAGCCAGTGGATAATTTCTAATTACATTAATAATAATAGCAAATACTTATTGAGTGTTTCTATATGCCATTATCTCATTCAATCTTCAAAAAATCCTATGAAGTACACATTATTTTTCCCATTTTACAAATGAGTAAAATAAGACTGAGAAATAAAGTAATTTTCCCAAATTTATAACAGGATTAGCCTCAGAGGTGTCAGATTATGGTATATGCTCTCTTTTTAAAATTGACAGATAAAATGTATTTATAGTAACAGCATGAGGTTTTAAAATATAAGTATATGCTTTTCTATAAAATAAATAAAATTTTTGGCCAGACACGGTGGCTCACGCCTGTAATCCCAGCATTTTGGGAGGCCGAGGCAGGCAGATTACCTGAGGTCAGGAGTTCAAGACAAGCCTGGCCAACATGGTGAAACCCTGTCTCCTCTAAAACTAAAAATATTGGCTGGGTGTGGTGGCACATGCCTGTAATCCCAGCTACTCAGCAGGCTGAGGCAGGAGAATCAGCTGAACCTAGGAGGCGGAGGCTGCAGTGAGCCAAGATTATACCACTGCACTCCACCCTGGGTGACAGAGCAAGACTCCATCTCAAAAAGTAAATAAAATTTCCATTTCTAAATAATCATAGACATATGAAAAAATTAAACAGAAAGTTACACATCTTCCTTCCACCAAATTCCAGTTCTATTCCCCAAAAGTAGCCTCTGTCAATGGTTTCTCTGATTATATCAGGAAAAGAAAAAGCTGCAAATACTAATATGTAGATCTTTTAAACAAAAAAAAAAAAAAATCAAGCATACGTCTATAGATCATTTTCTCACCTAGCAGTTCTGGAAATCTTTCCATATATAAATATATATATAAAATATATATTTATAAAAATATATATAAAATATATCTATAAATATATACAAATATATAAATATATACAAATATATATATACTATATGTAAATATATAAATATATAATATATATACAATATATATATACAAAATATATAAATATATATACAAATATATAAATATACATATATTAAAATATGTATATAAAATATATAAATATATAAATATATGTAAATATATAAATATATGTAAATATATAAATATATTATATATAAATATATATAAATATATTATATATAAATATATATAAATAAATAAATATAAATATATACAAATAAATATATATAAATATATACAAATAAATATATACATATATATATATATATATATATATATATATATATATATATAAAGCTACTTCATTCTTTTTAGTGGCTGCATCCTATCCCATTGTGCGGATGTAACAAAATACATCACACAAGTCCGCTCTTGATAGAAAGTTGTTTCCAGTTGTTGTTATTGTTGTCATACAATAGCAATTAGCATATTGTATAATACACCAATAAACATATTTGTACATTACAAATATATATGCACAATCAATTCATAACAGTGCAATTGCTAGATCAAAAAGTTTTTACCCTTTTATATTTTGAAAGCTATTGCTAAATGATTCATTGACTTCATCAACTCTTATTTTCAAAAAGTCAGATAAGATTATGTAAAGTCTGTGATCTCAATTACTATTCAACCTTCCTTTCAGTAATATTGCTTCTGGTACATTTTGACTTACAAAGAGGATTTTTTGTTGTTGTTGTTTTGAGATAGAGTCTCACTCTGTTACCCAGGCTGGAGTGCAGTGACTGTATATCTGCTAACTGCAAGCTCCGCCCCCCGGATTCAAGCCATTCTCCTGGCTCAGCCTCCTGAGTAGCTGGGACTACAAGAGCCCACCATCACGCCTCGCTAATTTTTTTGTATTTTTAGTAGAGACGGGGTTTCACTGTGTTAGCCAGGATGGTCTCGATCTCCTGACCTTCTGATCTGCCCACCTCGGCCTCCCAAAGTGCTGCGATTACAGGCGTGAGCCACCGCGCCCGGCCTCGGATTGTTGTTTTTTTAAGTGTGGTCAAAGCTACTGATCTTTTCCTTTTTTATTTGTTTACTGTGTTTTGGCAGACAACATTCTTCTCCATCCTAATAAAAAATATTCACGTGTATTTTCTTATATTTTTATGGTTTTGGCTTTTACATTGACCTGTAAACCACATTAGTGTGTTTAATGTAAGTTTAACATGAGTCACTAGAGTTTGTTACAGTCAGTTTTCTCAAATACACACTTTTGAAAAATGTATTTATTCCATTTTGGTTTGCATTTTTTCTTTATAACACATTGATAATTAGCATTAATATTAGTAATTAATATCAGTAATTAGTATTAATATTAGCAATTAGTATTAATACTAGTAATTTGATGTAGGTTTCTGGTTCCACGGGTTTTCTATAAGGGGAGGGGCAATAGACAAAAGACAATAGACCAATGGCAAACAAAGTACCACTTCCTTAACCGCTGAACAAGCAATTTATACACAAAATGCAGAGCTTTTCTGGTGAGTCCTGAGGCATATAGCTTAACTGGAGACCTAAACAAGGCTTTCTACTTCTTCCCTTCCTCTAAAATAGTGAAATTGCAGATTGAGTCTGTTTACCCAGCCCACAATGGACAAGGACCTGAGCCTGCCATAAACCACCAAGCCCAGTGCTCTGACGTCTTTGATGTGGGAAGTGGAGCCAAGATGCCAGCCTTTAAGACCTAACGGCCTCTCACTCCAATTAATGCAGGGCCGTTGCACCCCAAATTATGTAAGATATTGAAGTACTACCATTTCGGTTGTCATTTATCTCCACTTCATCGCTGATAAGCAGCCAACTTAGCCTATTAAAATTTCTAGTGCATTGGTGAATATGTATTTGTAATACATATTCCCTCAGGACAGCAGGCCCAGAGGATATAGTGGAAGTAATAGTTGCTCCAAGCAGAAAACCTTGTCGCCAGTAGGAAATAGCAGAAGCAGAAGCAGTGTAGTGTAAGGTCCTGGATGTACTGCAATATCTAGCAAGGGTAACAGTAATGTATGACCTGAAAAGAGACCATATTCCCCGGCAAGAGATTGCTGTGCCATGTGTGAAGATGGAAACAGAATCAGACAGAGGTGCAACCCAGAAGCAGTAATGATCAAAAGCACTTGCAGCTGTATCCAGCAGACATCACAGGGAAGCCCTCCAGAACTGTTCAGAAACCCTCTGGGAACACCCAGAATTACTGTAGAGAATAGACTTTGCAAGGCTGTTTTGCATAAGCAGTTGGAAGTAACAGTTACTAAAATCTGCCTTAAGCCTGCTCATGTGATTGTTAATAGGACTCAGCTGCTAAAAAGGCTCCTATTTAGATATGTTTAACACACACATTTTGTTTTTCAAAATATGTATTAACATCCTGTGGGAAAATGTCCCAACATATATCATTTTGGGAAATTCTGCTATGGAGCTTGACTTTCAAACTGTGACATTTCATGTCTGGATCACGTTTATTTACACACTAGGGCTCCAAAAAGAGGAATTGCTCAGAAGACTACTGGGTGACATGACACACATGGATGTCTGATTCCTGCCCACAAATGCATTGCCCCTAAAGGACACTTCTTTTAGAAGTCTATTTCCAGGAGGTACCTGGGAGACACACAGCCGGTACACTGTAGACCTAGACAAACTTCAATTCTACATTAAACCCTTCTTAGGCTCAAACTGGGATTCCTGATATATTTATAATAAGAACTGGGCAATTGGCTAGGACTCTTTTTTAATATTGGTTCCAGGAAGTCCGGACCCAAATTTATAGCTCAAATACAGTATTTATGCTGTCTTTTATGGTTCAAAGTTACGTTCTTTTTTTATTAATGTGATGGCTTTCCATTTTTTATTCATATTTTATTGGTATTCTTTCCCTATTTATTTGCATAGTCTATCTCTGCTTTATGATATGCATTTTTATTACAGTTCTACCAAAACCTTTGTAGACCAGGTGGCCAGGGGGCCTCAGGACTAGAGAACTTCTTGCAGTCTATTCATTGCATTTGTTCATCTCTTTATTTCAAATAGATTCTGTCCCTTTTTACTCTGCTTGAGTTAATGAAACTGATTGTTAGAAATATCAACTTCTACGTGCAATCAGAAATGATTCAGAAGGCAAAGTGAATTAATAAAGAAATGTATAACACAGTGTTGAGGATTTAATATGCCATTCTTCTTAGGAAAGCTACATTAAAAAATGTTAAAGAATATTGTTAATGGAAGTTAAGCAATTTATGGAAGAGATTTAAGAGGGCAAGACCTTCCCAAAGCTCCTGAGAAAAGTTCTCCATCCAGTAGTTTTTTTTTTTAACTCACTTTTAAATCCTCATGTAAAAGCCAGATTATATGAGCATGTTTAAAATTCTTTTATTAAATAGAATATTTTTTCATTCTTTTCTCTTATCCATAAAAGTAACTATATCACGCAGCTTGTAGATCACACTTGGGATCATCGAGGGGAAATGAGAAAAAATAACAGCTTTGCCAAATTAGCAGAGTGTATGCAAGCAAGGAAATTCACAAATTACGGTGATTATTCTGAACATCTGATTCCAGAGGGAATCACATCCAAGTAATAGAAATCATTGAAGATGAAAATTCAAGAGCAAATCCTGTTGACTGCCATATACTCACTGCATCTGTGAGTATATGGCATCTCCAGTGCCACCACCCTTGTTCAATGACTGTGAACTCTTGCCTGGAATATTCAAGAGCCTCATGCTTGAACTCTTTTCTTCCCTGCGTCCTCTACAATCTATTCTCCAGAGAAAACTCAAAATGAGTTTTCCAACATCAATTACATCACATCACTCCCCTGCTTAAAACTCTCCAGTGGCTTCCTACTGCATTTAGACTAAAACCAGCCTCTCTAACATCACCTATAATGCCCCCTAATAGTGAGGTCTTGCCTACTTCTCTGACCAGACTTCATAATAGTCTGTTTCTCACTCTGTCTGATGTGTTCCTCAAGCTAAACAATGACCATGTGTTTCTCAAAACTCACAGAAATGTACTAAGAAGGGTAAGTTTTTCTGCATGTAAATTATGTTTTAAGAATAGAAATAGGATAGGTATCCCTATGAATACCAATCAACAAGATATTTTTAATCTGAAAAAGATATTTTAAATAACAAAAGTTAAAAGAACCTATAGCAGCAACTGCTAGTACATCCCATATGTACTTTTCCTTTTCTTTCTTAATAAGAGAACTCGATTTTTTTTTTTTTTTTTTTTGGAGACAGAGTCCCCTTCTGTTGCCCAGGCTGGAATGTGGTGGCACAATCTCAGCTCACTGCAGCCTCTGCCTCTCGGGTTCCAGCCATTCTCCTGCCTCAGCCTCCCAGGTAGCTGGGATTACAGGTACAGGCCACCATGCCCAGCTTTTTTGTATTTTTTAGTAGAGATGGGGTTTCACCATGTTGGCCAGGCTGGTCTTGAGCTCCTGACCTCAAGTGATCTGCCCGCCTCAGCCTTCCAAAGTGCTGGGATTATAGACATGAGCCACCGCACCCAGCCAAGAACTCCGATTTTATTCAGAGTGACAATATATCCAGCTGAAAAACTCTACCTTCCAGCCTCTATTGGAAGTTAAATTTTCTAATTCGGTGTGAGCAAACATCGTTGGATAGGAATCCCTTTTTGTCCTTCTGTACTCCCTCCTTCCAGCCTCTTGGAATCAGACACTACAGCAGAAGTTCCAGAAACCATTTGGGGACCATGACAGAGAAGAAGAGAAAATCCAGAGACCTTACCCTTAGCATTTGGATTCAGTGAGATACCAGCAACTACCTAACACTGGGTTCTATTTAGAGGGTTGAGCTCTAATATTTTAAAGATACTGAAATAAAGGTCTCTCTCAGGCAGCCAGGCAATTCCCAGCTAATACAAATATCTGGGTATGTATCTAAAAAGTATGTATAAAATAATTATGAAGAAAAGGATAGAATATAGTAAGACTAAAAGGAATGGAGAAATATTCCATAATTAAAAATGAAGACATTTGATATTATGATTATTGAAATCTGTAAATTCAACGCAATTCATATCAAAATCCCAGTAAGATGTTTCACAGAATTTACTTAACAGGAGGCTTAAATGTGTATCAAAGATTATGGCCAAAAAGAGCCAACAATATTGAAGAAGAATAGTGACAGATGACTAACCAGATATCAAGTCTTAATTTAAAGCTTTATACTAATTAAGAGACAAATATATCAGTTAATAGCTATAATTAATAGAGCAGTTAATTAAGAGATAAATATATCAGTAAATCAGAATAAAGAGCCTTGAAATTTTTGTTTAACATACTGAAAGCATTCCATAGTTCTGGAACAAGTGGTTACCCATGTGGAAAAGGATATTAGATTCCCTTCCTCACGTCATAAGCAAAAACAAATTACATTTATTAGAAAGCTACATGCAAAGATCAAAACTTTAAAACTTTTATAGGAAAATGTATTTATGTTCTTTGGATAAGAAATGATTTCTTAGCTATATCACAAAAACACAGCAATAAAGGAACAGTTTGATTAAAATTGCAATGCATGTGAGTATTTGATAATATTCAATTATTTCAAGTAGCATGAACTTGTATTCTATTCTATGGATTATAATCCATTATTTTTATTATTTTATTCCTCAGATTGTCCCAGATTTTGCCCCTGGGAGCCAGTTCAAGCTGGTGTCTAGTCTTTCAACGTTGTTGAGCATTTTACTACTTTCTGACACCTGGTTGCTCTCTTTGCAAAAAATGGTATAGAGAAACTTTTATTTGTATGCAAGGTGTATCAGCACAATTTTTAACAAGAAAACATAGAAGCAACCTAACCATCCTTCAGTTGAATGCACAACAGCATATAAAAGACATGGACTAGGCTGGGTATATTGACTCATGCCTGTAATCCCAGCACTTTGGGAAGCTGAGGTGGGTGGATCACCTGAGGTCAGGAGTTTGAGACCAGCCTGGCCAAAATGGTGAAACCCCATCTCTACTAAAAATACAAAAATTAGCCAGGTGTGGTGGTGCGCACCTGTAATCCTGGCTACTCAGGAGGCTGAAGCATGAGAATCACTGGAACCTGGGAGGCAGAAGTTGCAGTGAGCCCAGATCACGCCATTGCACTCCAGCCTGGGCAACAGAGTGAGACTTTGTCTCAAAACAAAACAAAACAAAACAAAACAAAACAAAACAAACAAACAAAAAGACATGGACTAGATCTTCTATTATCAACCTAAGCTAATCTCACACTATGGAGTAAAAAAAGCTACAGCATATTATAATCCATTCAAACTAAGACCCATAAAATAATGTTTATTGCTTATAAAGAAGTACGTACGTAGCAACAAAGAAAATATAGCCACTGATATCCAGGAGCCTGGCACACACAGCTAGGCCTTAGTATCCTCCTGTTGACTGTAAACAACTTCAAAGAGCATCAACATCAGACAAGGCCGTTCTGTGACCATCATGGGATAAAACAAAAATACAACCATGCCATAATAATATTTGCACACTAACAAAAATATGTACCACAAAAATGACCAGATATCCATCTATCCTAGCTAATGCGTGACTGTTGCTTCTTAAACAATTACAACTTTAGTGTTGCTCTAGGCTTGAGATTTGTTAAGATATGTAATCACAGAATTACCCTACTTCCTGAAATCATCAATGCAGAGTAAAACCCTGTTTCCTTAAACCCTCCCAAGAATCACCTACTGCAAGCTCAAATCCTGTTCTAAGTCCTCTCTGCCATCATTGTGTTGCGACACCCCAGACTTTTCCACAGTTTGCATGCAACTACAGATGTGTTTCTAGTAGTCTCTGTAAAGAGGACATTGACTGTAGTAAAAGCAATTTTTTTTTTTTTTTTTTTTTGAGACAGAGTCTGGCTCTGTCGCCCAGGCTGGAGTGCTGTGGCACCATCTTGGCTCACTGCAAGCTCCGCCTCCCGGGTTCATGCCATTCTCCTGCCTCAGCCTCCCGAATAGTTGGGACTACAGGCGCCTGCCACCATGCCCGGCTAGTTTTTTGTATTTTTAGTAGAGACAGGGTTTCACTGTGTTAGCCAGAATGGTCTCGATCTCCTGAGCTCGTGATCCGCCCACCTCGGCCTCCCAAAGTGCTAGGATGACAGGCGTGAGCCATTGCGCCCAGCCGTAAAAGTATTTTTAAACGCGTAGAAATAATGCACCCAAACTTTAGGATAGTACCTATAGCTGACGAGACAGAAAAAGAGGAGAAAAGTGTGAGGCAGAGAGAAGGGAGGCATTTACTGTATTTTAGCATTTTATTTCTTTAAAATGAGAGAAATCTAAAGAATATATGACAAAACACATATATCCATGGTTGGAACATGGTAATCTCTTTTATTAATTTCTATTTCATTTGTATTATTTTCATTGTGGTAAAATATGCACAGCATAAAGTGTGTTATTTTGACTGTTTTCAAGTGTACAGTTCAGCAACATTAAGTACATTCACATCATTGTAGTACCATCATCAGCATCATCCTGAGAACCCTTTTCATCTTGTAAAACTGAAACTCCATGATATTAAATAACAACTCCCTACTTGTTTCTTCTCCCAGCAGCCCCGGGCAACCACCATTCTTTCTGCCTCTGAATTTGACTATTCTAGGTACCTCATGTAAGTGGAATCATATAGTATTTGTCCTATTTTCTTATATGATTGAAATATATTATTTAATTAAATATGTTGAAATATATTATTTAACTAAAGATTTCTCTAAAATAATGGTCTCCTCCAACCCAGAAGAAACCAATTTTAAGTGTTTTCATTTAATACATGTACTCTTCTAAGATTGCACATAGAGGGATATGATGGAGCAGATACTTATTGGCTACTAAGTCCTATCTGTGCACTGATGTTTTGATTATCTGCATATGAGTCAATCTTGCCCACTAGAAGACCCCATATCCTTGATAATGAGGAAGGTGCCTTATTTCCCTTTTCACTTCCAATGTCAAGCACGGTAGCTGGCATACAACAGATGCTCAATAAATGTGTGTTCAAAAAAGAATGAATTATTGTGTTTCAAAATTATCAGCTTCAACTTAGTATCTTAAAAATCTATTTCAAAAATATATAATTTGCTCCAAGTTACCAGTTTTAAGACCTTCTATTTATCTTTCTTTGTTGCTCTTAGAGTAACCTCAACCGTTCTCGAAGCTTCAGTGGCACAAGGAACTTAAGGAAATGTCTCTTCCCTGAAAAGACAAGCTTCACATGACTCATCTGTCCTCCCCATGGCCCTATCTTGATGCACCAAGCATTTGAAACTTTAAGTAATTTTCAGGCAGCTGTAATTGAAGAGATATTACAGCTGTTGAAGTGGTGCCAGTTACCACATTAAGGTAGCCATAACTCAGGCAAAGCACAGACAAGAACAACTTCATGGAAAGTGGGCTTATTCACTATTTTAAGTCAATTGCTTCCTTTAGTATTCCAAGCCTGCCATTGCTAAGAATACAAAGGAACAAGAATTTATCATAATGGATCACAAACTCAAACTCAGGGGGAAATATTAAATGAAACAAACCAGAAAAGAAATTATTTATCCTTCACTAATTAAACTCATCAGCACAAACGAGCCCAAATCTAGTACATTTCTGAGATCCAGGAACATGAGCCAGTGAAAGATCACAGACTTTGAATGGAGAAGACCGGAGCACATGTCCTTGTCCTGACTTTTACCAATAGTTTGACCTTGGATCATGCCCATAACTTTGCAAACACCTGTTAAGTGGCAAATAATATCATCCACCTTAGAAGGATGTTAGAGGATTAGATGAGAAAAGTTAATGTCAACATTTTTATATGCTGCAAATTGCTTGACAAATAACATTTATATTAAGAACTTAACACAGAAATATCTGAAGATTAAGAAGTAGGGAAATCATAGGATGAAACTTGAACTCATAGTTTTATATGTTTAGAATATTGACTTCTTCTGTGGCAAAGCATTTTCTTGTCAGTTTTCTGTGTTCCTGTAAGACATCAATGGTGTGGGGAAATGGTGCTATTTTAGATCTCGTGCCCTTAAGATTCAAAATGCCCAAAAGACACTTCAGTGGGCTAACAAGTCTACATTCAGAATTCAGCCGAGTTCACAACATAGTTCTATATTCCTACTACTGAATTTCTTTAGTCAATTAATTTTCCCATGCTCCTTGGTGACTGTATTAAACCTTTTCCATTCTCTTCATCCAAACCTGTTACTGATGAAGGGTGTCCAGGTTCTTGGGGTTTTGAACAAAGAATCGGACAAAACACACCAATGAATGAAAGAAAAGCACAGATCTATTGAAACAAAAGTACACTCCACAGGGTGGGAGTGGGCTCAAATAAGCAGCTCAAGAGCCCCATTACAGAATTTTCTGGGGTTGAAATATTCTCTAGAGGTTTCCCATTTGTTACTTGGTGTACACCCTATGTAAATGATGTGGTGGCCCACGACCATTCTGGTTGGTTGTGGGAGGGGACCAATTAGAGGCTGAAGTGAAGTTACACTCCTAGGCAAATGAAAACTTGGCCTGTGACCAGTCTGATTGGTTGCAGGAGGGAACCAATCAGAGGTACTTTCAATTTTTCACCTGCCACGCAGAGAAGGGGGGATGGGGCTGTTGCAAAGGGTGTAGCCTATGGTCCTCTTGTTACTTGGGCATGGAAAGTTGGGGTTTTCCTTTTGGTTTAATTATAGGAAGTCAACATGAATCAGCCTTAGGTTCTCTGCCTCCAGATCCTATTCTCCTGCCTCACCACCACCCCAAAAAGCTCCCTCAGTCACAAAAGATGACCTCACTTCCAACCTCACAGAGAAATTTGAAGCTGCCAGAGAGGAGCCCTCAACTTTCCAGCACCTACTTTCAAACCTACAACCTATCTGTATCTTCTCTCCTCTCCTCAATTCCTGTGAAAGCCAACTCCCTTCTTCCTAGTTTCGGTCCAATCTCTCTGTCTGTGTTCTGTAGCCCACTTCGAGAATCATCTCCTATCAATAATCTCTTCTCTCTTCTGTGTCTTCTAACTCACCATCTTTGCTTGGTTCCCCCATGGTCATTCAAACATACTTAATTCATACAAAAAAAATTAGAATGAATAAGACCTACTATTTGATAGCACAAGATGACTATAATCAATACCTTAACTGTACATTTTTTAATAACTAAAAGAGTATAATTGGATTGTTTGTAACACAAGGGATAAATGCTTCAGGGAAGGGATACCCCATTCTACATGATGTGATTACACACTACATGCCTGTATCAAAACATCGCATGTACCCCATAAAGCTATACACCTACTATGTACCCGCAATAATTAAAAATAAAAAAACTTAAATTTAAATTAAAAAAAGTGTAATTTTTTTAATATCTCAAGCCTTATTTTTTCTTTCAATTACAGCCCTATGTCTTCTGTCCTTTTCTCAGTCGCATTTCTAAAAGGAGTTGTCTACACTCACTGTCTCTATTTCTTAATTTCTCACTCATTCCACAACCCACTGAAACCTTGCATCTCCCCTCAACAGCCCACCCAACCACTGAGCTAAGTTGCCAATGACTTCTGCAAGGTATACTTTTGACCTGGGCCTCCGTAGCCTCTCAGCAGCACTCTGTGGAGTTAACTATTTTCTTTTTTGTCTTTCATGGTCTCCTCCTGGGTATCCTCCCACCTTTCTGAACAGTCTTTTAGTTTATCCTTCCCTGTTTCACATTCAAAGGTTGGAGTTTCCCAAGATTGATTCCTAGGCTACTTCTCCTTTTCATTCTTTCTTCTACACAAAATCAGCCACTCTCATATCTTCATTCGCCACCTGCATATTGACCATTTGTGAACATGCATCTTTAGATCACATCCATGTGTCCGATTTGGTCTCCACTTGGCTATCTGATGCAGGCCAGAGCCTGCAGAGCACACACTGACCTGAAATGTGAGTAATAAGGTGTTTCCTATATGAACCTGTCCAAGGAAGAAGTTGAACGTCCTACAGTTTCCCCTTGGACCCTAAGCAAGGAGCTCTGGAGCCAATATTGCCCACCGAGTGTCCCGCCTTACTCATTCACCAGACGTGAGCTGCTCCAAGAGGGGCACGCCCTCTAGGGAGGCAGCTCTGCCCCTCCGGCAGACCCTGAAGTTGCTGACTGCTGATGGCTATCTGCAGCCTGCCTTCCGCTGGGCTGGATAGCAAGTCCTTCCCTGAAGGGGGAACTCGGTGGCACATTTCTTCACCTACCACAATATCTCATAGGCACTTTAACTACAAAACAAAATTGAGCTAATTCCCTCAAAACTCACTTTCTTCCAACTGTTCCTGACCTCTGGAAATAGCACCCTCATCTATGCAGTTGCACACACCAGAAACCCAACTCTGATCCTAATGCCGCTTTTCCCTCGCACCCTGCCCTTAGCCTAACCTTAGTACTGTCTCTGCTCAGTGATTGAAATAATCTTCCAACTGCCCTCCCCACATCCTCTCAGCCCCATCTAGACCTTTCTTTACACTCAAACAGAGGGAATGACCCTTTTAAAACACAAATATATACTATCTCTTAGCCTGGCTTCCCATTACTCTTAGAATAAAGATCAAAATCTTTTACTGTCCCAGCCTATAGGAGGACAAGGCAGGTGTGTCACTTGAGCCTAGGAATTCAAGACCAGCCTGGGCAACATTACAAAAACCCATCTCTACAAAAAATACAAAAATTAGGTAGGCATGGTGACACATGCCTGCAGTCCCAGCTACTTGGGAGGCCAAAATGTGAGGATCAACTGAGCTGGGGAGGTGGAAGCTGCAGTGAGACATGATTGGGCCACTACACTCTAGCCTGGGTGATGGAGTAAAACCCTGTCTCAATTTCTTTAATCCTTTACTGGAGTCACAAGTTCCTGCATAATCTGGCTCCTCCCTCCCCATGGGTCTGGGTAGTTCAGCTATAAGGGACTTCATTCAGGCCCTAGAAATATGCAATGCTCATTCCCATCTCAGACCTTTGCATATGCTGTTTGCTCTGCCTGAAATAGACTGTCATCATTCCCCACTCAACCCAACTGACACCAATTTGCCCTTAAGATTTCAGCTTTAGTGTCTGTTTCTCAGAAAATCTTCTCTGACCTCCAGACTCCCTGTGAAAGGATATTGCATCACCGTAATTATCAGCACAATTGCAATGGTATAGAAACAGTTAATAACATACAGTCAATGTCTGATGCAGGTTAGTGCCTTAATTCAAGGATTTCATGTCTGCAAATTTGCCCACTCACTAAAATTTAGTTTAGTAACCTCCAAATCAATACTTATGATGCTTTCATGGTCATTCATTGACACGCACAAAGTAGAAGAAATTTTGAGTTGTCTGATGCACATGTCGGACCAGCTGAGGTCCAACATGGTGGCATTCTGCCTTCTTGTTTCTACTCTCATACTGTAAATATTCTTTTTGTGATCTAGTTACTGCCACATTTTTCACATTTTTGTGTCTTTTTTGACGATTTCATTGTTTAAAAATGGTCCCCAAGCATTAAAGTGCTGTCTAGTGTTTCTAAGTGCAAAAAGGCTGGGATGTGCCTTACAGAGAAAATAGGTAAATTTCATTCAGGCATGAGTGATATGCTGTTAGCCCTGAGTTCATGTTAATGAATCAACTATATTAAATAAGACGTCTTTAAACAGAAACACACATAAAACAAGGTTATATATTGATTAGCTGACAAAAATGTCGTGACCAGAGGCTCACAGGAACCTAACTCTGTGTTTCCCCCTAAGAGCAATGGCGCCGTGTTTGCTAATTTAGTGTTCCAGGTGACTTTATAGAACTTTCCTACCTAAAAAAAATGAAAGCCCCTGCAATTAGTTTTTTTATTATCTCTCCCCCGACAAAATGTAAACTCCAAAAGAACAGGAACAGTTTGTCTTAATCACAGTTGTATTCTCAACATGGGGCCTTGTACATAGAAGAATCTTGGTAAGTGTTTGCTGAATGAATGAAAATGAACAGCATCTTCTAATAGCAAGAATGTATTTTTTATAACAAAAAAATACAGGGTCTCACTGTTGCCCATGCTGGAGTGTGCTGGTTCAATTATAGCTCACTGCAGCCTCAAGCTCCCAGGCTCAAGCCATCCTCTCACCTCAGCCTCCCAAGTATAGCTGGGACTGCAGGTGCACCTCCATGCCTGGCTAAGTTTTGTATTTATTTATTTATTTTTTTAACAGAAACAAGGTCTCAAACATGTTGCCCAGGATGGTCTTGAATATCTGGGCTCAAGTGGTTCCCACACCCTGCCCCTGCCTCCCAAGTGCTGGGATTACAGGTGTGAGCCACCACACCCAGCCAGGATACATTCTTGTATGACCGTTTACTGCAAAGCCAGGACCACAGGGGCCCTTCTGTGACACACAAACCTCATTCTGTGAATACTCTTTGCTCTCTTAGTAAATGCTAAGACATGAATTGATGAAGCAATATATTTATGAGGCAATCCTATTTCAGGAAATAGGAAACCTGAATTCCGGTCCTGCCCTTGTGACAATTAATGACATGGGGGAGAAGCCCCTCAACTGGAGTCTTTGTTTCCTCATCTGTAAAATAAAATAGACTTCTGAGTTCCCTGCCAGCTCCGAGATTTCAGCTTGCCCAGCAGTGCAACCCATGTCCAACTCTGCTGCTAGAATGTGCCTCTGATATTGTACGTAAGCCCCACAGAGCAGGGACTTTGGAGGTTTGGCTCTGCCACATCACCAGTGTCTAGAGAGTGTCCACACAATATGTATTTAGACAATCTATGAGTGAATCTGTCTCCTAAAAATCCAGGCTTCTAGTTCCCAATATTAAGCCTATCCCCTATTATCTTTGCAGGCACTTAAGAGCATGTCACTATATTCAGATACTATCCTTCAGATTTCAGCGTGTTGTTATTAATAGGAAACTGCAAGCAAGGTTTTTCATGACTTAGGTTTTCCCTAAAAGTGTAAGTGCTACATGTTCTCTAGAAAATTTGGCAAATATATAAAGGAAAATATAAAGGTACCTTAATAGGTTATCACCCAAAACTAAGAAATATTATCAATGCATGTTTTTTTTTCTAGGGTTTTTTTTAAGTTTTGTTTCTAATCCATGAGGATTCCATTTTTGTATTTCTTATAAGCCTTCAATAAATTCAACTAGTTAGCCAGCGATGCTTATTGGATAAAAGACACAAATATTCATTACATGCTTAACGTGTACACAAGTTAATTCATCACCTCCTACTGGCTCTGCAAACATACCTCTCACCATTCTCCAGTGGCCCAAGTCGGAATCCTAGAAGTCATCTTCACATTTTCCAGTGGTTTTTACTATGTCTAATAGGGCTCTGGGTCTTCTTTAAGATCTCTTTAGCAAGCAAAAGTTAAGATCTCCTTAACTTTTGTATTACCTGTGTCTCCCAGCCTGCATTCACAACCTTCCCCAACTGACAAGGACCAGATTGAGCACTTCTGGCTCCGCAAATGTGCTGTGCCCTTCCCGGACCTCAGGCCTTCACGCCTTCTGCTTATTTCAAAATGCCCTTCAGAATCCCTTCCCCTGCTTACCTCCTACTTGCCCTTCAGAATCCAACTCAGACATAACTCCCGCAAAGAAACTGAACTTAACTCTTGAGGCTGCATCAAGTTTGTGCCTTCCCTGCAATGATGCCATAGCTCAGGTGACTTACATTTTCTAAGTTTATCTTTATTTATCTGTCTCCCATAAAGACTAAGCTTTTTGAGATTATAGGACTTATCATATTCTTAGTTATATCTTCCAGTGTCAGACACAAGAAAGTTGCTTAAAAATGTTAATTGGAATGAACGCAACATTCCTTTCTCTACTGATTTGTAATTCTACTTTTATGATATACTTAATGTGATGTGCACTAAGATCTATTGCTTGACCTTATTTTGTTAAAGCTGTTTCTCCCTATCCTTATCACGTTATGTTATTTTAATGTATCACATTATTTTAATGTACTATGGTCTCATAATACATTTTAATATCTGATAAGGCACACTGTACACACGCACACATTATTTGTATTTTCTCATCTGTCTAGTCTATGAGATGACCTTGAAAACTACATGTTAGGTTTTCTCAGTCTTTGCAAATTACCTTTGGCATTTTAATAGGATTATACTAGATCTAAAAGGGTAATTGTATCACCTGCAAGTAATATTTTTATCTCTTCCCCCAAAAATTGTAAAGTTCTCATTTCTGTTACTTGGGTTACTGAATTGGCTTGAACTTCAGGGAACACTAAATACATTTATGATAGCAGATATCCCTGGAAATGTACCTTAATATCCAGATTTTATCAGTATTATGAGCTATAAAATACTTAGAAAAGACTAATTTACTCCAGTATGGCATTAAATAACAAAATTATTTGCAGGGAAAAAACAAACCAGGAGCCTAATTGTCTAAATAGGCTTTTTATCCTAAGGGCTTTGATATTGCCTCAGAAACATAAAATAAGGTAAAATATCTCAGAGCTGTTAAGTTTCTAATCACATTTCAGATTTATATTTTTCCACCATTGACCAATAGGAAGAAAAATTTCTGTGATCTTGACAAGAATGATTAATAGATGTTACAGCAATTTTTGTTTTGTTTTGTATTTTTGGTTTGTTTTGTTTTGCATTTTTTGTTTGTTTTGTTTCTGAGAGTGCAAGTTGCAGTTCAATTTGTCCACAGCCTTTCTGGAAAGTTGGAGACCACACCCTTAACCTTCACTTTATTATTTGTTGAGCTCTTAGTCTGTGCAGAAACCATGCTCTGTGTTACATGCATTGTTTCATTTAATCTCATTTAATGCTTTACCAATCAGGGCTCTTTGAGAACCAACAGGATATGAATATCCTATTGCATGGAAATCTCCTCAGCTCAATATCCAAGTTCATCACTTGCAAGTTCTACTTTCCACCCAATGACAGAACATAATTCAGACAAGTTTTCCACCGATTTTTAACCTTTCCTCCAGTGTTCAATAATGCTGATTTCCACCTGAGACCTCACCAGAAGGTCCTTCAGTATTTCAATTTCTAGCAATGTTCTGTTCGTGACAGTACACATATTCTCTTGGGCAATAGAAGCCTTCTCTACAACTTTCTTCTCTTTGTTCTGAGCCCACAAAAAAATTGCTTTTAATGTCCATGTATCTACCATCAATTCTTCAAGGCAATCTAGGTTTTTGCTATGAACTATTTCAAAATTATTCCAATCTATAACCATTACCCAATTCCAAAGCCACTTTCACATTTTTGGGTTTTTGTTATAACACCACCACACTTCCTGGTACCAAAATCTGTATTAGTTTCCTCGGGCTGCCTAAGAAAAGTACTACAAATTGGGTGGCTGAAAACAAGAGTAATTTATTCTCTCACAGTTCTGAAACCTAGAAGTCCAAATTACTCAAGGTGTTGGCAGGCCCATGCTCCCTCTGAAGCTTTGAGGAGAGGACCCTTCCTTGCCTCTCCCAGCTTCTGGTGGCCCCAGGCATTCCTTGGCTTGTGGCTCCATCACTCTCATCTTTGCCCCCATCTTCACATGGTCATCTTGTCTGTGTCTGTGCATCTCTGTGTCTTCACATGGCATTCTCCTTGTGTGTCTGTGTCCAAATTACCCTCTTCTGATAAGGACATCAGTCAAAATTGAATTAAGGCCCAACCTAATGACCTCATTTACACTCAATTAAATGTGCAAAGACCTATTTTCAGATTGCAAGTACTGGAGGTTAGGACATTAAAATATCTTTTGGGGGGTATATAATTCAATCCATGATTTTAAGATCATTAATTTTTGTGGAGGGTGTTATTTCATTTTTAAACGCAAACACTCAGTCTTAAAGGGACTAAGGAACCTGATCAAAATTGCATGGTTTGTAAATTATAAAGCTGTAACTCATACCTAGGTCTGACTAACACCAAACCCATATTCTAACTTATTGCCTAAGAAATTGTTAATGCTATGCCTAAAAATCTAATCAGCAATGCCAGTCAGTGCTTCTTGGTTGAATTTGACACAACTCCATTCACTCCTTCCTGAAATAATTTCACTTGGCTTTCCTGAGAACTCATGCTACAGACAGCCCTTCTGTGTCACCGTAGCTTTCTCTCAGTCCTTTCATTGGCTTTAGCTTTCCTGTTGGAGCTCCTTGTATAGTACGGCCCCAGGGTAGGTCCACTTCTCTGAGAATTCTCTCCTTCAGTGCTCTCAGTATGACTTAAATACCACTCTATGCCAGTGTCTCTCAGATATATAACCCCACCTATGACCTGTCCACTAAACAACAGATTTGTCATTTCCATTGCCAGGTTATGTCTCTCCTTACATGTCTAATACTTTTCTTCTCGACATGGCAGAACTATTTGAGGTTCTTGTCGAAAACAAGCAAAGTCCTATCCTGATCATTTATGCAGATATGGTATTTGTAGGGTATTAGATAGCTGGCAAGATTCCTAGGAGGACAAGAGACTCAGATTTAAGGGCCAACAGCCAGGGACAATCCCCATATCACAATGTGGAACTGCTGGAGGGAGATACTAGTACTACCATTGCTGGGTAGACACTGGACTCAGATGGTATGCCTAAAATCTCTGCATTTGCTGCCTCTGAAAACTGATGAGGCTGCTGACTCCATGGCCAGAATGGATGCCAACTTGGAGCTTCACATGTGTGTCTGATTGAGCCAGGGTCACAAGCTGCAACCCAGCTCTGGGGGCCACTGGTAAAGCAGGATTCTGACTTATATCTTAGAGAAACAGATTCCTAAAGTAGGGAAATCCCCAAACATAGGAAGGATGCTCAGTTATGCTCAGTGGCTAAGAAGAATGACCAATGTCCACCACAGTGGCCAAGTAGAACTCCTGACTCTCCTCAGTTCACCAATATCCTCAAGCTCTACACCACAGAATCATACCTGATGGCGTCTTCCCTTATTCTCCACGTCCAACCTGTCATCAAATTGTCTCATTTCTCTCTGTCTCTAAAATATTGTTGGAGTTCATCCCTTTTTCTCCGTCCAAGCTACTTGCATCATTTGCTTGGACCATGTGCTACAGTTGCCTCAAAGCTGGTGCTCCCACTTCCACTCTTGTCCCTAGACAGTCCAGTCTTTACACAGCAAACAGGTGGTCTTCTAAAACTACAAATTAGGTCAATTTATTCTCTGCTTTAAGCCCTCCAGAGTATTCACCCTGGCATACAAGGTGCTGCATAGTCTGGTTCCTGCTCAACCCTCTAGCCTCACTGCATGTCTGTGTGCCTGCCTTTGCTGAGCTCCAAGCATGGCTACACAGGAATTCTCTCCTATCCTTGGCTACAACAGGGTCATTTCAACCACAGGATCTTTGCGGTTGTTTCCTCCACCCTAAAGTCTTTCCATAGCTGGATCCTTTTTGCCTTTCAGATCTCAGCTCAACAGTCACCTCTTCTGATATCTATCATTCTAAGGGAGTTCCTCTACAATCTGTCCTATCCTCAGTTTTATTTGCAATAGCATTTATTATAATGTGACATTATCTTTCTTCTGTTTTATTGGCTGTCTCTCTTGGCCAGCTTGCAAGTTTATCCAATTTTATCTACCTGTGTATTCTTAGGGCCTTCAACAGTGCCTGGCACAGAGTAGAGATGACAGATATACTTGTGAAGTGTCATCAGGGATCAAAGAAATTGCATTGACTAAGGACTCTACAGCCAGAAAAAGATAAAATCACTAAGCTCTGTGGTGGTCAGAAAAGATTTCATTGAACTATTGAATCCTAAGCTTAGCCATGAGGAATGGGTAACATGTGGACTTTCAGTTCGATCAGTTAACAGGATCCTAAACTAATAGGAAACATGACAGGTGAGGAAGAGGAATTAGGAAAGGTTCAGAAGTGTAATGGGGAATCACAGTGAGAAAGTTTAAGATTGCAAGAGGCCAAAAGAGAGCACCATTATGCACAGAGGTGGCCATCCCCTACTTGCAACTGGCTCAAGGCCATTCCTACTGGAGCATGCTCTCATCTGCAAATCATGTGCAAGTTTTCAGTGGCAGTCATGTGCTGACATCTCCTTATCTACAAGGAACCTCAAAGTCCCTTGAACATCTCATCAGGCTAGGATCTGGAGCTGATGGTCACAGCACCAGGGTGGACACACAGGGAGCAGAGAGACACAGGACTCAAGAAATAACAGGAAGTCAAACTGTCACTGTTTGCTGATGATATGATTGTACACCTAGAAAACCCCAAAGACTCCTCTGAGAAACTCCCAGAACTGATAAATGAATTCATCAAATTTCTAGGATACAAAATTAATGTACACATATCAGTAGTTCTGCTGTATACCAACAGCGACCAAGCTGAGAATCAAATCAAGAACTCAACCCCTTTTTACAATAGCAGCAAAACAATTAAATATTTAGGAATATACCTAACCAAAGAGGTAAAAGACATCTACAAGGAACACTACAAAACACTGCTGAAAGAAATCATGGATGACACAAACAAATGGAAACACATCCCATGTTCATGGATGAGTAGAATCAATATTGTGAAAATGGCCATACTGCCAAAAGCAATCTACAAATTCAATGCAATTCCCATCAAAATACCACCATCATTCTTCACAAAACTAGAAAAGACAATCCTAAAATTCATATGGAAACATAAAAGAGCCCACATAGCCAAAGCAAGACTAAGCAAAAAGAACAAATCTGAATGCATCACATTACCTGACTTCAAATTATACTATAAAGCCATAGTCACCAAAACAGTACAGTACTGGTATAAAAATAGACACATAGACCAATGGAACAGAATTGAGAACTCAGAAATAAAGCCAAATACTTACAGCCAACCGATCTTTGACAAAGCAAGCAAAAACAAAGAGGGTAAAGGACACCCTGTTCAACAAATGTTGCTGGGATAATTGGCAAGCTACTGGTAGAATAATGAAACTGGATCCTAATCTCTCACCTTATTCAAAAATAAACTCAAGATGGATCAAGGGCTTAAATCTAAGACCTGAAACCATAAAAATCCTAGAAGGTAACATCAGAAAAATGTTTCTAGATATTAGCTTAGGCAAAGACTTCATGACCAAGAACCCAAAAGCAAATGCAACAAAAACATTAATAGGTGGGACTTAAACTAAAAAGTTTCTGCACAGCAAAAGAAACAATCGGCAGAGTAAACAGACAACCCACAGAATGGGAGAAAATCTTCACAATTTATATATCTGATAAAGAACTAATATCCAGAATCTACAGGGAACTCAAACAAATTAGCAAGTAAAAAACAAACAATCCCATTGAGAAATGGGCTAAGGACATGAATAGTCAATTCTCAAAAGAAGATATCCAACTGGCCAACAAATGTATGCAAAAATGCTCAACATCACTAATGATCAGAGAAATGCAAATCAAAACCACAATGTGATACCACCTTACTCCTGCAAGAATGGCCATAATCAAAAAATCAAAAATAGGAATGTGGTAAAAAGGGAACACTTTTACACGACAGGTGGGAATGTAAACTAGTACAACCACTACGGAAAACAGTGTGGAGATTCCTTAAAGAACTAAAAGTAGAACCACCATTTTATCCAGTGATTCCGCTACTGAGTATCTACCCAGAGAAAAAGAAGTCACTATACAAAAAAGATACTTGCACACACTGTGTATAGCAGCACAATTCACAATTGCAAAAATATGGAACCAGCTCAAATGCCGATCAATCAATGAGTGGATACAGAAATTGTGGTATATATATACCATGAAATACTATTCAGCCATAAAAAGGAATGAAATAATGATGCTCACAGCACCCTGGATGGAATTGGAGGCCAGTATTCTAAGTGAAGTAATTCAGGAATAGAAAACCAAACACCCTATGTTTGCTTCACTCCTAAGTGGAAGCTAAGCTATGAGGATGCAAAGGCTTAAGAATGATACAATGGACTAGGGACTTGGAAAGGGTGGGAGGGGGTGAGGAATAAAAGGCTACAAATTGGGTACAGTGTATACTGCTCAGGTGATAAGTGCACCAAAATCTCACAAATCACCACTAAAGAACTTACTCGTGTAACCAAACACCACCTGTTTCCTAATAACCTATGGAAATTAAAAAAAAAAAAAAAAAAGGAAGAAGGGAAGTAAATCCAGAAACCTCAAAATAGAATCACATTGAGAAGCACACAAAAGAGAAATGTCAGGCCCATGAACGATAAAAGGGGAGAAACAGAGGCAGTTATCCAGGAGGGAGGGAAAGCCTGGACTCCATGAATGCACAGTGGCATAACCCCCATGTGACAGTGACACCCACCTCACTGCCTGCTCAGGATCAGCCTGCCTGCTCATCATCATCTGCTTACCCTTGAAGCCCAGGTCCCTGAGCCTGGAGAGGAGGAAGCAACAATACACGTTAGCAAATTGAAGAAGAAATAATTTTTTTACTGCTGCAGTCCCCCCGTATTAATTAAGCTGGTAATTAGATGCAAGTTTCTCTCTAAATTGCATATTCATCTTCTTCTAACAGCACTTAATGACTACGATCTGTATATTAAAAACTTAACACTACCAGCTTGCATAAATTCCTGTATTTGTCCATGGTCAGCAAGTTTCAGAAGCTGGATAAAACCTAAAGTCTCTTCTCAGGAAGCTGGGGGATGGGTTTATTAAGGAACTTATAAATTCTGAGAACCCTGCCTAAGAATAACAATCTATGAATTTCCTAAAGAGTTGGTGTGCAAATTATCTGCCTGTGGGTTTTCTCCTCTCTGGATTTTCTATAATATTCCTTTGGTCTCAATACGGGTTAATTCACTGTCAACTATGCTTCTTACTAGCTGTCCCCCATCCCTAACACTGCACCATTTCTTGACCCACGTGCTGAGGGGATGCAAACTGGAGTTAACAACAACCTGAACAAGGAAGCAGGCCATTAACATCATATTGTGTGCCTGTGAAGAAATAACATACCTTTACCTGTAAATCCTTGTTTCCCATTTCAGAGGTGTTTTATATTTTTAACATGGGATCTGTACTAGGGTTGAGGCTGTGGGAGGCTGGTGAGTTTCCACTTGGAGGAGGTGGTCACCAAATTAGGAGAGGGGCTTGTCCCCAAAGACGTGGCTCTAGGCAGGCCACTATGAATCATGAACTTCTATGTGGCATTCTGTATTCCTTGTATATAACAAAGATTTCAAATTTAATAAGAAAAAAAGGCAGGATGAGATATTTTTAAAATACAAGACACCTCACCAAAAAACATATAAAAATAGCACATAAGCATATTGTCTCAGACTATTTGTGTTGCTATAACAAAATATCTTGGACTGCATGGCTTATAAACAGAAATTTTTTCTTACAATTCTGGAGGCTAGGAAGTCCAAGATTAAGATGCTGGCAGATTCAATACCTGGTGAGGGCTGCTTTCTGGTTCATAGACGGTGCCTTCTTGTTATGTCTTCACATGGTGGAAGGGGCAAACAAGCTCCCTGGGGCCTATTTTATAAGGGTACTAATTTCATTCATGAGGACTCCACTCTCATGACCTAATCACCTTCCCAAAGGCCCAACCTCCTAATCTTACCAACTTGATGATTAGGTTTCAGCATTTGAATCCTGGGGGGGCCACAAGCATTTAGACCATAGCACATATGAAAATATGCTCCACATCATATGTTATTAGGCAAATGAGAATTAAAACAATCAGATACCACTACGCATCTATTTGTCTAGTAGAATGGCCACGAAACAGAACACTGAAAACATCAGATGCTGACAAAGATATAGAGCAACAGGAACTCTCATTCATTACTTGTGAGAATGCAAAGTGGTACAGCTACCTTGGAAGACAGGAGCTTTTCTTACAGAAACCAAATGTATTCTTACCATAGGATCCAGAAATTGTGCTCCTTGGTATTTTCCCAACGGAGTTAAAAACTTAAGTCCACACAAAAGCCTGCACACATTTATAGCAGCTTTTTTATCACTGCCAAAATTTGGAATCAATTGTAATGTCCTTCAGTATGTGAATAATAAAATGTGGTACACCCAGACAATAGAATATTCAGGGCTAAAAGGAGATTAGCTATCAAGCCATGCAACGACATGAAGGAATGTTAAATGCATACTACTAAGTGAAAGAAGTCAATCTGAAAAAACTACATACCGTATGATTCCAACTATATGACATTCTGGAAAAGGCAAAACTATGGAGACGGCAAAAAGGTCGGGGTCAGTGGGGAGGGAGGAATGAAGATCAAGGGTCAGTGAAGAGGGAGGTGGAGCAGAGGATTTTTAAGGCAATTAAACTACTTTGCTTGATAGTATAATTGTAGAGAGATACACATTTCTCCAAACCCATAGAATGTCCAACATCACAAATGAAATCCAATATAAACTAGGGACTTTGGGTGACGATGTGTGAAGGAAGGTTCATCAAATGCACAACTCTGGTGGAGGATGTTGATAATGGGGGATCCTGTCTATGGGTGGGAAAAGGGATATATGGAAACTTTCTGCACCTTCCACTCTATGTTGCCATGAACTTAAATCTCCTCTTAAGAAAATAAACTCTAAAAAAAAGGAGAATACAAGAACAGGAGGGAAATGGGAGAATTATTTTCATGTTGCAAGTTATACCCTTTTTTATCTACTAGCTGAGGTTATCAAGATGAATGGCCTCTTGATAAGTGAAATTAAAATCCTGCCATCCATCCCTTCACTAAGAGAACAGTGGTTGTTTTTGCTTAGTCATTATATTATTGATGTATTTGCTGCTGTCCATTCCAGATCATGGCGGGTTAATCCTATGGCGGAGTCTTGAAAGTCATTCCTGGAGGGCAAGTGTCAACCTATCCTCATTGCAAGTAAGAAAAACCACCCTAGGAGTTGAAGAAATAAGAGAGATTACCAGCAGGTGAACCCATTCACCACAGCTAAGAAACTTCTCCTGGGAAGTAAAGTTATTAAAGTTTGATGTACTTGACAATTTGAGGGGGGGGAAAAGTGCTGCTGTTTCTTGAGGCAGCAACAAATCACCACCGCCCGCGGTAATGATAGGCCTTCTCCTCCTCAGAGCTGAGAAAGACAATCACATAAAGAAATGCATCAGCAGAGTGGGTGAGAAAAAATGACTCAGGTATTGTATTTTCTGTATGTTGTCAAGAAATGCATCACTCTACAGATGGATCTGATTTAGTAATATTATAGAAAATCATATATGGTTTTGGTCCCTAACAGAACTATTATTTATCCAGAGCCTACTGTGTAACAGCTATGGTTCATATTACCTCACTCAATTCCTCCACATGTTACTTTATAATTTTATTAATAAGTAAACTGTACTCTGGGAGATTTTCATTAACCTACGATCACAAAATTAGTGTTCTTCCTACTAAACTACCCTACTTATGCTTACCTATGCTAAAAGGTTGTGTTGGTAAACTAAAAATCAAATCCAAAAAAGCCTAGGCTTTCTAACTAATCCTCTTCTCTGCAGGTGGCTGAAAGACCTAGAAGACAAGAATCTTTTACAATTTACAAGAGGTGGAATATGCAGGAATAACTTCAGTGATAATAAGCAAGATATGTTAAATAGTAAAATCTCAAAATGCTATAGTCAGAAGCAGTATTTTAGATAATCACAAGGAATAAAATGAAGTAGAAAATAAGTTTACATGAATGGGGAGCCATTCATTCAATCCCATCTAGATGCCACTCTTCCTAGAAAAATGTAGAGCTCAACCTTCCCATAGCTTCAGCTGTTCACTGTTAACTGGGAACCCCCAAGTGCTGGGAAAAACAGATCCTTTTCCTATCATGTGGTAAGTAACTAGTGTCAGACATTCTGTAGAGCATACTGGAAGAAGAAAGTCTCTTTTGAAATTGAGGGAATACAGACACTATATCACGATTGAACTGTGAGAAATTTCAGACCAGACATTTAGTATTCTCTACAACCATCCTAAGTTCAGAATAGATCTAACACAAGAACACAGAGGAGAAATCAGCAGAACATAGACAACAAAGGTGGAGACAAGTGGTCCAATAAGGCCCGAGTCAGACCTGATGAAGCATCTTAGCTAATGACCTAAAGATAAGTTATTCTGCTTGTTATATATTCATTTATGTTGTTTGTTGAATATTGACCCATACTAATGGTGACAATGGAATAAATGGAATGTGGGAACTTGTTCATATTGCAAAAGTACTCATTTTCAGTGAGCAACTTTGGCCACCTTTTACTGAGGAATGAGGGACCTCAGAGTAGACACTTGACTTACCTACTGATTTACACTAGGCCCTTGTCTTATTGCATTTTACTTTTCTTTTTCATCCCCACCCCTGCTCTCATCACCCTCCTTCTCTCCTATAGACACCCACTCTAATGAATTTGATACTTCTTAAATATGCATCAGTGTAAAAATAGTTTTGTAAGTACATGTGTGTTCAATTTGAATAAAGGTTCTTATGCCTTGTTTCTTCTGCTGCTTTTTACTATTTCTTTTTGTCTTCTTTTTTCACTATGTACTGTGCTATTAACATTTCTCTATGTAGCTGTATATATTATTACATGATAGATGCATATATACACATTATAATATTACTGCATAGCATTCCACGGAATGCATTATCCTCTTTTCACTTATCCATCCCACTAGTTGTATTAATCTGTTCTCATTCTTCTAATAAAAACACACCCAAGACTGGGTAGTTTATAAAGGAAAGAGGTTCAATGAACTTCCGCATGGGTGGGGAGTCCTCACCATCATGGTGGAAAATGAAGGAGGAGCAAAGTCCTGTCTTACATGGCAGCAGGCAAGACAGAGCTTGTGTAGGGGAACTGCCCTTTATAAAGCCATCAGATCTCATGAGACTTAGTCACTACCGTAAGAACAGCATGGGAAAAATCCACTCCCGTGATTCAATTACCTCCCACCAGGTCCCTCCCTTGACACATGGGGATTAGTACAATTTAAGGTGTCATTAGGGACACAGAGTCAAACCATATCGCTAGTGATGGATGATTAGGTTGTCCCACCTACATAAACAGTCTTATATGGATTCACATATAGAAACCTGTGAGTTTCTCCGTGGCAAATACCCAGAAGTGGGATTTCTGAATCTTAAATTATATATTAACTTACGTTCAGTAAGTCCTGCCCCAAGCATCTTGTAAATGACTGTATCAATTCCTACTAATGGATACACTTATCCATTCCAACCAGAAGTGATTCCTGTTTCCCTACATCCTTATCCACTCTTTGTATTGTGCAATTTGTCCATTTTTGCCTGACTTATATATGTTGAATAGTATCTTACCATTTCAATTTGCTATAAAATGATTACAAAGGAGGTAGATCTTTCTTTCTACACTTGTTAGCAAATTAATATTTGTTCTTCTTTGAAATTCCTGGTCTTCAACTGTCCATTTTTATAGAAGTTTCTGTGCCTTTTTTGCTGAATTGTCTAGAATTTTTATATTCCGTATACTAATGCTTTGTCAGTTTTAAACATCGCAAACGTCTTCTCCCAGTCTGTGAACTACCTTTTGTTTAACTTATTCTATGAAATCTTTTGTCATATTTCTAAAGTTCTAAGTTAAAAAAAACTAACTATTGTTATATTTTAGATCAAGGTGACTGCTGACAATTGCAGTAAGGATTTGGTGTTTCGAGTGGGCAGACCAGACAACTGTTTTAGAGTGTGGCCCTAGCTAAATATGTTCCTGTCTGGCTGCCACATTTAGAAGCACTTGGGAACTTTATTTAATTCACTTAATTTATTTTATGGCTGATGTTCACCTGCCTTCACTTCCCTAAGACAAACTATCTTGAAGCCACAGATAAATTAAGCCCATGGTTTATTGGGCACATCATCTCTAAAAATAAACTAAAAGCTGAATTTCTCACTATCTCATCCCCAATCCCTGCCGCAATAGGGTAGCTCCTTGCTCAGATGGCTTCCATTTCTTCAACTTATATTTTATCTTTCATGATGATTGTGCTGTAAAAATCATTATGTCTCTCCTTATGCATCACAAGAATGTGCATCTTAACAGTTCTCGTTCCATCAACCTCTCTGTATGGATGTGTCATAGATGCTTGACCTTCTAACCTCAAGTTGCTACAGAATTCCCATACATTTTCTTCATCCGCAGAAGCTCCTTATGTCATGGATGGATCTCAATCCCATGTCTTTCATTGCCAAACATATATGTTTACCACCATATTATACTATCTTCACTCATCAAGGCTGACTTGAATCATTCAAAAACGGTTAAATAGCACCTTAACATAGGAACTGCCGTCTGGACCAGACAATTGTGCTGTGAGAAAAAGTATGAGTTATACTAAGCTGTAAAAAAAACTATTTTTTAGCTGGGCGTGGTGGCTCACGCCTGTAATCCCAGCACTTTGGGAGGTGGGCGGATCACAAGGTCAGGAGTTTAAAATCAGCCTGGCCAACATGGTGAAACCCCATCTCTACTAAAAATACAAAAATTAGCCAGATGTCGTAGCACATGCCTGTAGTCCCAGCTACTCGGGAGGCTGAGGCAGGAGCATTGCTTGAACCTGGCAGGCAGAGGTTGCAGTGAGCCAAGACCACGCCATTGCACTCCAGCCTCGGCAATAGAGTGAGACTCTGTCTCAAAACAAAACAAAACAAAACCTATTTTTAAAATTCCTACAACCAGCTATTTCTGATTCTCATTTAGTGTTTCTTATTTAGTAAAATGTGATGACTCCACATGGCATCTGCATATTCTATTGCCTCTTTTATCACAGAACGGTGAGCATCACTTTTGAGCTACACAGCTGAACGCACTTAACAGGTGTATACCCCAGTGCCCTCCAGTCCTTTTATCCTGAGAGATAGAAAACCATCAGGGGCTAGCCTGATACAGCTAGCCATTAGCGTTCTCCTTTCAAACGCACGATTTCTTAGAACATGAACATCAGACAAGTCCACTCTGCAACCACAATGGATCAAGACAAAAACAAAATCCCTCATAATCATGTTTGAACAGTTAACGGACATTGTCCAAGACACAAAATGCCAAACATCCCCTTCTCCTAGTTAATATATGACTATTGCTTCTTTGCCATTAATAGCTTTAGCTGTTTAGCAGTCTGCCCTGCCTAGTGAAGTTATTAAAATACCCAGTCTCTGCTTCCTAGCAGCATCAAATCCAGAGCAAAGCTCTGCTTCCATAAGCCTTCCCCAAGATCACCTAACCCAAGCACAAATCTTAGACAAATTATTTGTGGTATGTGTTCTTCCTCACTGCGAGGAGTAATAAGCCCAACTTGTTCAACTACAGGTGTGCTCCTCGTGGTCTTTGGCTCAAAGACATTGCCAATTTCATTAAACCCATGAAATAATACATAGCATAGTAATAAAAGCAGAGGCTTTAGAATTCTGACTCTACTACCCATTGGTATTATGGCTATGAAAATGTTAATTACTCCAAATCTCCTATTTTCTCTTCCATAAATTAGATAACCAAGATTCCTCAACAAGCCCATGCAAATATACCTCATAGGGTTTCTGTGAGCAGGACTTCCATGAACAGTCAAGCATACTGGGCACTGCACAACTCCAGAGAACATTCATACACACTGAAATTGTTCACATGGCAGTCCTGGCTATGAAATAATGCATGTCAAGTGCTTGGCACCATGTATGCCACCTTTGAAAGACTCAATAAGTAACAGCTATAATTGCTAAGCATGCTTAAGCCTGTAACTGAGTCAGCATTGTCTTGAGTATTAATGTTGCCTTTCTGGCTGAGCAAGTGGCTGCCTCCATAATGTGATTAGATCAGTAAAGCCAATTTGAAAAAGGTGCTAGGAACACCATCTGCCATAGATCACCCCCAATGGACTGTGAAATGTCTGGCATTCTACCATCCCAGGCTCTGTGTGCTAAAAGCTGGTCCCTTCTCCTTGGTGATCGGAAGTCACAGGAATGATAGTGCTGGTGAGGCATCTCCGATTTACAAAGCTTTGCCTTTCCTTATTTCTTCTGGTCCTCATAAAACCTTGTCAGAATAAGTGTTTAGGAAATATTATTAGGATGCCTATTTTATAGATGATAAAGATATGTTCAGAGAAGTGACTCATCCAAACACATGTCAACTAAGCTGCAGGGGCATGATACCAGCCCAGGTCTTCTGACTCCAAACCAGTGCTCATTTCATCAAGACACACTGACTCTCAGTGCAGGGAAAATCCGGTTACAGGTGCCAAGCATCTGAAATGCTAGGGAAAAACTAGGAGAGGGCCCTTGCTGATGGCAAAGCCTATTCTATTCATGCTGTGTCCTTGGAGCAAATGAAGAAGACACTGGCACACCATACGAGGTCATTTGGGGTCCTAGTCTAACATCTGTCATAGGGACTATGTTATCTCCCAGCTCTGTATGTGAAGATCTAATGATATTGTTTTGAAAAACATCATCACCCAAACAGTGTGCTTAGTACCCTCATCAATTGTGTCTCCTTTGCTGGCACACTTGAGTTCCCAAGTAAATTCTCTCCAGGCTCCACTACCAAAGGGGTGAAGGGGACAAGAAAGCTAATGCACAGCCAGCACTTGCTACAGAGACAAGTACAGCAAGAAAAGCATGTTAAGATGTACTAGCCACACATTTATTTTGTCAAGAATTACCTCATTCGAGTAGGCACGGTGGCTCACGCCTGTAATCCCAGCACCTTGGGAGGCCGAGGCTAGAAGATTGAGTGAGTCCTGGAGTTCCAGACCAACCTGGGCAACGTAGTGAAACCCCGTCTCTACAAAAAAAAAAAAAAAAATTAAAACTAGCTGGGTGTGGTGGCTCATACCTGTAATCCTAGCACTTTGGGAGGCTGGCACGAGAGAGTTGCTTTAGTTCAGGAGTTCAAGGCTGCAGTGAGCTACGACAGTGCTACCGTACTCCAGCCTGAGTGACAGAGCAAGAGCCTGTATTAAAAAGAAAAAAAGAAAATTTATCTCGTTCACAGGAACAATAGACACTGGGGACTCCAAAAGGGAGGAGAGAGGAAGGGAAACAAGCATTGAAAAACTTCCTATTGGGTACTGTCTTCACCGTTTGGGGATCAACTGAAGCCCAAACCTGAGCATCAAGCAATATACCCTTGTAACAAAAATGCACATGTACCCCTTGAATATAAAATAAAATACTTACATATACATATAAAGGAATTACCTCATTCAATTCTCACAGTAAACCCTATGAGGTCAACACGATTTCCGTCATGTAACGAACGAGGAACTGAGGTTCAGAGATCTCAGGGAACTTGGCCAGGCTCACAGTGTACGTGGGGAAGCTGGGGTTTTAAGGCAGCCTTCTGCTACTTTACACTCTAGGCACTTTGCATTTGCCACGTGGCCTCTCACCTGTGCGAAGGAGCCAAAACATGTTCAGCTGGTTTGGAGGGGAGCGCTAGGAGCTGACAATCGTACATTGCATTAACTTTTCTTCTTCCAAATGTCTCTTCCAAAAGTATTTTATTTTCTGGTAGTGTCAGTGCCCTTATTAAAGGTAGTGGCTGGTGATGGGAATTGTAAGCAGGCCAGTGGGAAGAGCAAGGACAGACCCTGAGCTGAAACCGCCCAGCAAAGCAGCTTCCAGATTCCTAACCCTTAGAAATTATGTGATCCTGGTGCAAATCCTATTTGTTAAAAAGGAAATAAAAAGAAAGAATCTGAGATAATAAGCCTTTATTGTTTTAAGCTGCTAAATTTGGAGGTAATTTGCCACACAGCAGTAGATAACTAATACAGAGAGATAACTAATGTAGGGGATAAAGGACCTGCCCAAAGTCATCCACAGATTAGCAACAGTGTCAAGAAAAGGAAAATTAGAATAAAATGTTAAATAAATAAAATAAAGTGACCCAAGATGACTATAGGTGAGACATATGGGTAATAAAAACTAGGCCTATAAATTAAATCTGAACTCTCATCTGCAAAGCAAGAGTTTGTCAAATATTTTATCGACAGATACTGATTATAATTTTGTTCATTAGAACATAAAGGCAAGATAAAATCAATCATCCCTCTCTAGACCCTAACACATCTACATGCTCATTAACCTATATGTGCTGACCATGTATTTGTTTTGTCTTATATCTAACGTCACTGTGCACCAATCAGAATTATAAAAATATCACCTTTACTTCACTACCCCCATTCTTCCATTTTCTATGAACAAAACGTATAAAGACCACGTCTTATGGCTAGACACAGTGGTTCATGCCTCTAATCCCAACACTTTGAGAGGCCAAAGCAGGGGGATTGCTTGAGGCCAGGAGTTGGAGACCAGCCTGGGCAGCAAAGTGAGACCCTCATCTCTACAAAAAAATTTACCAAAAAAAATAAAATATATATATATATATATATATATATATATAGCCAGGCATGGTGGTGCACACCTGTAGCCCTAGCTACTCAGGAGGCTGAGATGAGAGGATTGCTTGAGCCTAGGAGGCTGAGGCTGCAGTGAGCTGTAATTGCATCAGTGCACTCCAACCTGAGCAACAGAGACCCCATGTTATAAAAAAAAAATTAAAATTAAAAAAATACTATGTCTTGTATAGGTCACTCTGGGACACATTCTTAGTTTGTGCTGAGTCCGTATTTCCTGGGCTGTTAGTACTCCACCTTGGCTCAAAATAAAAAGAACTTTAAAATTATGTAAGTTATACTACCTGTTATTTAACCTTTCAGTGGACAACAGTAAGGACAAAATGTCAAGCCCATCACTCTGGGTAAGGAGCTCTTTTGAACCACCCCCAGTCGCGTCCATGGAATGTCCAGGTTTCCCCTCCTACATTTCTTTTTTCACTTCACTTTGGAATGGACAAGGTCTTCTCCAAGTAGAGGGAACAGAGACTGATGGTGTGAAGCATGGTGGGGGCTGCGCTGTGGGATAGCATGGAGAGACGGGGTGTGTTAAAATATGAGAGACACCTTTGTTTTACATTCATCTCTGATTTGTATTTTCTGAAATTTAGCCCATTTCTCAGAAGAAAGAACAGATGGAGGATCATTAGAATAAAATATGCAAAGATGGAGAAAAGAGAAAACCACATCTGCAGATTGTAGAACCATGGCTGGCCACTAATGAATTTGATTTTTCAAAGCAACTTACAACTTGATTGAAAAGCAGTGTTCTTAGAAAACTCATCTTCTGATTATACCTCAATTCCCAGGTCCTTATAATATAGTGTATCTTTATTACAGACCCATTAGTCAAGCCTCTATTAAATGTAGAGCTATCTGCATTAGGTACTGGTTTAATTTGTCAGGGTCTTAAAAAGAATAATTCTATTAAATATTCCATTATGTAAATCACGTGAAGAAATTTATTTGCAATAGCCAAAAGCAGCTAGAGGTAACTAAGACCACGTAAGAAGGCTCTGCAAGGTATCTACTACCTTGAGCATGTCTTTCATTGTATCCATATTGAGAACTGCAAGTCATTGTCTGTCTTTACCAGAGACAACATTAACATGCAGCCATTTCTTAGAGGAAATAGGGTAGTAACCAGGAGTATTTGGATAATATAAATTTGCATCTGTAAAGCATCTCCCTAGAAATTATTGATTTTCTCTTCCCCGAAAAGCCTATTAAAAGGAAACATCTTTTCTAATGCTTTCCAGGGGGCCTCCAGGAAATCATTACCGGTAGAGACTGTTGTTTTATGGGTCTTTGGATGGGAGCTTTAAATATGAACATGAAATGTGAAAAGGAAGGATGTGATACACAGACTCCTGCTGAGAGCTGGCTTTTATTCATTGCCTGTCCTCTCGTTTATTTCTCCAGGCAATTAGCCCAGGCTGTCACTCTGGGAACCATCCTTTGAAAGACTACTCCTCCTGGAGAAATTTTTACAGAGTCAAAAGCTGGATTTAATTCCCGCTCCTCACCTGCACTCTCCACCCCCAACCCTACCCTTTCCACCTCTTCCCACAAGCCTCCTCCTTCCTGCCACGAGCCTCTCACCAGAGTTCTCACTCTCTGGTGTCTGGGCTAAAGCTTGGCACTCGCTGGGACTGGCTGCAGCATGACAGCCCTCAGAGGGAGACCAGGAGCCAAGGCCAGGAACAGTCTGGAATGCCTGGGAGGCAGAGACCGTCTCTGCCTGAGATGGGCAGGTGGGACAAAGCATGGTACCCAAAGGTGTAGCTTCATCAGAAATGGTTTAGGCAGGCACTGCAGGCCCAAACACAGTACAAGGAACTCCCCAGCAACCTTCAAGTGGGAAAACACAGTCTTAGGAATGATGGTTTGATGGCAAAAATGAGGAGGATAAAAGCAGCTGTGTTCTACTGATCACTGACCGTGTGCATTTACTCTTTCAGTGAATCCCTACAATTCTGGGAGGTAGGCACGATTAACCTAATTTACCAATGATGGGTACAATTTGCCCTGGATCACAGATTTATGAATAGCAGAACTGGCGTTCAAATCCAAGTGCAACGGACTCCAGAGCCCTCACTCTAAGCCACTGACCTCCTCTAAGAGGTCATATTTAACCAGCTTTGCTTTTGCTCACCATCATATTCACAGGAACATCAGCCTCTTTCAAAGCCTCAAGACCTACAGATGGGTTTAAGCATTGTCTATTGTGAGTCCTCTCAATAACCTTGAGGTGCAGTCAGAGGGAACATGTTTAATTGAATATTTAGTTTCAAAGCATTCACTTTGTGTCAGGAACTGCTCTAGTAGATGAAAATAAAGATCAGAGGAGAAGCTAGGACAGTGGGGCAGTGGACAATAAGCCAACTGTCACAAAAGTAAAGATAAAGTGCCATCTGGGATAAGGCCATGGAGACGTATTCAGTGTCATGAGAGATGACAACAGAAATGTAATATATATGAGGTAGTCTGGAGAGGCCTCTCCAAGAACAGAAGGGTGAGCAGCAGTTAGGAGTTAACCAGGAAGGGTGGGAGCAAGGGCACTCCAGGCTAAGGGAGCAGCACGTGTGAAGGCCCTGAGGAGGGCAGGAGACTAAAGCACTTGAGGACCTAAAAGGTGGCCCGAGTGGCAAGCAGGGGAAACAGCAGGTGATGGGCTGGCCAGGGGGCAGGAGGAGGATCATTTAGCATTTTGAGGGATTCCTGTTCACCTCCCAGGTGAAATAGGAAGCCATTGAAAGACCTGGTATGGGAGACACATTGTTGGAAGCTCACAGGGGCTGTTATAAGGATTGGGATAAGAGCGAGGTCATTAGGAAGGCTATTAGAGTGGCATGGAAGAGACATACAGGAAGGTGGTTTATACTGGGGAATGGTGTTTAAAAAAAAAAAAAAAAAGAGAGAGGGCCAGGCATGGTGGTTCACATCTGTAATCCCAGCACTTTGGGAGGCCGAGGCAGGTGGATCACGAGGTCGGGAGTTCGAGACCAGCCTGGCCAACATGGTGAAACCCCATCTCTACTAAAAATACAAAAATAGCCGGGCACTGTGGCAGGCGCCTGTAATCCCAGCTACTCGGGAGGCTGAGGCAGGAGAATCACTTGAACCGGGGAGGAGGAGGTTGCAGTGAGCCAAGATCACGCCACTGCACTCCAGCCTGGGCGACATAAACCTGGTGGCTCAAAACAACAGAAACGTATTTTCCACAGTTCTGGAGGCCAGAAGTCCAAACATCAAGGTGTTGGCGGGGCCATGCTCCCTCCAAAGGCTGTTGGGGAGGATCCTTCCTCGCCTCCTCCTAGCTTTGGTGGCTCCTGGCACTCTGGGGCTTGCAGATGCATCCCCCCAGTCTCTGCCTCCATCTTCACATGGCCCTATTGCCTCTAGGTCGCCTCTGAGACTCTGTATCCAAATCTCATTCTTTTTTCCCTTATAAAGATGCCAGTCAATGGCTTTAGGGCCCACCCGAATCATTATGAGCTTATCTAACTTGGTTCCATGAGCAAGAACCCTATATCCAAATAAGACCACATTCACAAGGACTGGGGGTCAGGACTTGTGAATGTGACCTTATTGGGAATGTCTTTTTTGTGGGGGAAAAGGAGAGATGACATAATTCAACCCCCGACAGGAAGTAAAGATGTGAAGTATAACTTCGGAGTTTCTCTCAGGAGTGACTTGGTCAATGGACGTGCTCAACTCCTAAATTGGGAAGAATTGAGGAGAAGCAGGATTGGGTCCAATTTACGGCATGTTACATTTGAAATACCAATCAGTGTGAAACCAACGGGTTAATTTGATCAGGGCTGCCTGCCTGCTTGCTTTTGGTTGCTTGTTTTTCATTATTTTTTTCTTCATTTTTCTGTGAAGCTGAAGGCTGTAGCAGCTAAAGGCCACACCACTGAACACTGAAACTTAACCTTCACTGGCTACTGTATAGATAACATCCATAGGTCGCCATGGCAACAGTAGATTCAGTTGTTTTTCAGGAACTTGGGCCACCTCCTATCTCATTCAAACTGGTTGAGACCACTAACCCTTCAACTGGGCCTGCGCAAGTACCCGAGAGGTGGCCTTTTGACATCAGAGGGCAAAAAACTCCTCCAGATCATGCTAACACCACCATTTCCTGTGCATATGTCCTATGAAATGCCATGAACTCTGACTACACTCGTGTAGAATGAATTGGTTACTTCATTTGCCCCCACTACCAACCACCTCTTCCCATCCCTTAGACCACCCACTCCCCTAAACTGTCAATATCCCTAAGCCTTATCTTCACAAAGACAGATTTGACAGCTGTTTTCTCACCTCTTTTCTTGGTGGCCTTACAGATAAAGCTTTCCTCTTTTGCAAAACCTATGCCACAGTGATTGATTCACTCCATTTGGGCAGAATGGACCTGGACCTGGCCAGTAACAAATGTAGATGTCCAACTGGTAATTGATAGGAAGGTATTAAGCAAAAAAGAAAATTCTCAGCCAGAGATATACATTTAAACTCAACGAAGTCAATGAGATCATTTAAGGAGAGAGATTATTTGCCAAAAACAATTTTCAATAAATTGTAATGCAATCAGAAAACATGCTTTTTGAGTGAAAGACAAAATATGCAGAATTATATATATGTGGCAAAGTATTTACATATAAAACATATGTGAATATAAATCTGCAAGCAAATTAATTCTGATATATATAAGAAGACAGGAAATTGACAAATATTGATAGTGTCTATCTCACAGCCACTTTTCGCTTATCCTTATGCTTTTCAGAATTTTCAAAATTTTTATCATTGGGTATGCATTTTTAATAAAATTGTTTTAAAATACAAACTATTAAGAAATTTAATATGACTGAAATATGGAATATAGAAAAAGAAGACTGGAAAAAAATGAAGCTAAATGGTAGTTATTGAGCCTAGTCTAAATTGCCAAACAAAGCAATTTGGTTTTCATTCTATATGCAACAGGGAATCCTAATGGCCTTGAAAAAAAAATGGACGTGGACTGATTATACCATGGAATTTAGTAATAGCTGTTTTTTTTGACTGAAGAAGTAATATAACCTCATTATAGAAAAAAAAATGGACCCACAGGAAATTAGAGATCCACTGTTAACATTTTTTAGTATTTCCTTCCAACACTATTTTTGTGCCTATTTTGTACAGGTTAGCTCAATTTTTAAACAGCTTCCTTTTTTAATTTACCATGATACGAAAAACTTATCACCATGAATTTGAACATCCCTCAAAGTATAATTTTATTGACTAATAACTGGCCATACCATGGAGATAACATTATTCACTTACCTGTTCCTCTATGTTTGAATACATTTTTTCATTTTCATTTTTAAGTAAATTATCAATAATGCTGTTATCAACATCTTTGTTCGAGAATTTCTATCAGAATGTTCATTGAGACCCAAGTATTAGCAGGTACTGTAGTAAATGTTAAGGAAACGAAGATGAATTAAATAAGGTCCCTGCCCTCTAGCAAAAGAAAAAAGACTAAGATAGAAGGACTTCCAACATAAAGTAATAGAGAAAATACCTATGTGCCTATCGCTCCATCAGAATCACTTCTTGCTCTTAATGAGTTTACACCTTGCTAGAGGAACAGACAATAAGCAGTCACTTTCAAAGTAATACAGTAACTAAGAGGTGTCCACACAAGTCTGGGCTCTTAAATTAAGCAAGTGAGGGGCATAACAAAAGGGCACGCAGCAAGATGACCTGGCTACGATGAGAGAACAGAGGCACAGAACAGGCCTTGGGCTACTGTCTTTGTCTAGGCTGGAGATTATGAGAGGATGGATTCAGGGGGACAAGAGGAAACTGGAAGAGGAAAGAAGCCTCTTCAAAGGAAAAACTGAAAGAGGGACACACATGAGAGCTCTTCTCAGCTGGTTTCTGTATGCATGCCTGGTCTCCCCAACAAGACAATAGGCACCTTCCAGACAGGAGCTCCTTGTCCTATCCCAGTGCACGCTCAGTACTATCAGGCGATTGGCTGAAAAGACAGTGTGATGGCCAGATAAAGTAAAAAGAGAAATGTAATAAAGGAGCCAGGGGTAAATGCGCAAGAGTTGTGGGGTGATCTGTACTTTCAATGGGGTGCCTCTCAGAAACCAGAAAATCTCACTGCCATCTCTGTTTCCACCTGGCGCTTGGTATGCAGTAATAGCATCTTCCCAGTAGAGGGAACTGTCTGCATATTTAATTCCTAATCTGGCTACTGAGCTGAACCTGCAAACTGGCAGTGCTGACTGTAGAAATGTTTTCCTAACTGTCCATTGCAGTTCAGCCCCAATTGTCTCACACTCCAGGCTGCTGGTTCCCCTGGAGCTGGCATCGTTTGGCTAACTAACTTTGTCACTAGTTCTTTTGACTCTAGCCAGCCACCCCGAACCTTGCTCTTGCAACCACAGATGCTGAGATGTGCTGTGAGCCACCTGCAAGCCCTCAAGGGCTCTCTGAAGCATTCTCTCCATACAATAATCGAACTTTCTGGAACCACAAGTTAGCACTCATCTGCTTTGCTCACCATTTCATCTTCAGTGCTGAGGCAGGTGCCTAGCACATATTGGACATGCAATAAATTGTTGCTGCGTGAACGACTGAACCAGACAACCCTCCGAAAATATTTTGGTAGCCAGAATGCTTTGATAAAGATGATAATCTCCCTTCAGTTCCTGAAGATTTGTCCCTGAAGTCAAGTCTTTCAGAAAGATTCACTCTGCAGTTCATTCTGCCCCTGACAAAGGGTAACTTTCCTCTCTGCATCCTCATTTCCTCAGCTCTTAGGATGCACAACTCTACCTGTTCCAAGTAGTTGGACAGTGTGAACAAGAAAAATCAGTCAGTTTGTTAATTAACCATTGAGGGTACTTTATGTTTTCACAATCACAAGAAGTATTTTTATGGTGCAAGAAGGCAGGTCATTAATAAAATCATCTATAATTTTTTTTCAAAATACAAATCTCTATCTAACACCCTTCTCCCTTCTCTCCTGACCCCATCACACTGTAATGAACAAAGACAATATCTCTGATACACCCAGGGGAGAGAGCCTTGTTCAGAATATTCTTTGAAAGTCTGGTAGGTGAATCTGGTGGGCATGGGTACACACACACACATACACACACACACACACACTCATAAACAAACATCCTACCCCTATTTCTGGCATACTGAGAGCCATTACTATAAACCGGTGATCCTGCCCATTAGAATCTGGTTTATAGTACACATCAGCATCACCCAGGGAGATTTTTACAATTATACTAATACCCAGGCTAAATCTTCAGCAAATTAAATCAGAATGTCTCAGAGTGAGCCTCGAGCCTCAGGGATTTTATTGGGCCGCCAAGACTGAGATGCCCCACTGTAGACACTTGGAGAAACCAATGAGAAGGGTCAGCATAGCCCCTGGCCACAGTACCTTCCAATCAACGTGGGACACAGTAAGATTCACATGAAATTACAGCCATCTGAAGTGTCCGCAGAATGCAGAATCGTGAGAAAAGCCTTGGCCTCCCCCCCGTTTAGGAGAAATGGCCTCAGATTTATTACTCTACTGACCTTGGGGCCTTGAAGCATCATTTAGGGTCTCTGAGGCTCAGTCTCTTTATCTATAAAACAGAAGTAGTTAACATCACCAAGATGCCGACAGGACAAAATGAAATTGTGAAGCAAGAATTATTTGTAAGTTATAAATGATTATGCAATTGGAATGGATTATTACAGGGAAATAGCAAATAAATATTTTTAAATATTTTTAAATAAGTCATTGTAGTCCTAAAATTGACTCAATATGTTTCATGACATCTGTCAGAAGATTCCTGTTTTCTAGACTTTCAAGCTATTGCCAAGCTCCCAAAGGTTTTTCCAATCTCTTTTTTCCCCAACTGATGTACTCTCAATAGTCATCATTACGATAGTCACTGACATTTTCTCACCAAGTAGACAGAGTACCTGTCTCTTATCACTGTTTTATCCATATCATCACAAATCCCTCTTGTTTTTCTATAATAATATTTGCTACTGCTAAGATGTCAAAGTTCAATTAAGTACTTTATGCTAATAGCAGGCTTTTAAAGTTCCTTTCACTGTACAGTTTCAGACACCACCAACGAGCCAGTCGGAGAGCTGTTTTCAAGTAAGGATCTGTCCTTGAACTCACAAACAATGTCATTTTGGGAAAGCAAACCATGTACACAGTAGCCAGCTTAAGAAATTTGGAAGCCGGGCGTGGTGGCTTACGCCTGTAATCCCAGCACTTTGGGGGCTGAGGCAGGCGGATCACAAGGTCAAAAGTTCAAGATCAGCCTGACCAATAGAGTGAAACCCCGTCTCTACTACAAACACAAAAATTAGCTGGGCTTGGTGGTGCACACCTGTAACCCCAGCTATTCAGGAAGCTGAGGCAGGAGAGTCACTTGAACCCAAGAGGCCGAGGTTGCAGTGAGCCAAGATTGCACCACTGCACTCCAGCCTGGGTGACAGAGAGAGACTCCGTCTCAAAAAAAAAGAAATTTGGAATAGGACAGACTTACCACGGAGCCCACAGGCTGGCTTTGTCTTAAACAAGTCGATTAGATTTAACTTTGAGACATGCAGTTAATGTAAGCATTAATGAAACCAGCACTGCAAAGGTTTACCTATGTCATACAGGTTTTTATTTCTAATTTGCAGCTTCACATAGGTAACTTTTGGGGTCCTACCCTAAAAGTTTTCTTTAGTGATATATCAGTAAAATTCTGTAAACTATGGATGTAGAATGAGAAGTCAGAAGGTAGCTGGTTACTGTCTGAAATATGGGCAGTCAAGAGAAAGCTTAGTGTGAACCAAGGGAGCTAAGGAGCTACTGATAACAAGGGGAAATTTGCTCCTTTACATATTTGACAGAGTCCCATGATGAAGCAAGTGCCCCTCATCTCAACCCCTAAGACCCCTACTTGTGCTCTAACCACAAGGAAGAAAACCAATGAATAATTAAAGAGTTGTCTAGGTTGATGCTATTCACTGAACGTTTGTGCCCTCTAAAATTTATATGTTGAAATCCTAACCCCCAGTATGATGACATTAGGTGGTGAGGCCTTGGGATGTGAGTAGCTCATAAGTGTGGAGTCTTCATGAATGAGATTAGTGTCCTTATAAAACAGACCCCAGAGCCTGTAATCCCAGCACTTTGGGAGACCGAGGTGGGCGGATCATGAGTTCAGGAGATCGAGACCATCCTGGCTAACACAATGAAACCCCATCTCTACTAAAAATACAAAAAAAATTAGCCGGGCATAGTGGCGGGCGCCTGTAGTCCCAGCTACTCAGGAGGCTGAGGCAGCAGAATGGTGTGAACCCGGGAGGTGGAGCTTGCAGTGAGCTGAGACCACGCCACTGCACTCCAGCATGGACGACAGAGCGAGACTCCATCTCTAAATAAATAAATCAATAAATACATAAATACATAAATAAATCAGACCCCAGAGCAGATCTCTCTTCCCTTTTGCCATGTGAAGAGACAGCAAGAAGATAGCTGTCTATGGACCAGGAAGCAGGTCCTCACCAGGTATCTCGATCTTGAACTTCCCAGCCTCCAGAACTGTGAGAAATACATTTCTGTTGTTTATAAGCCACCAAGTCCATGGTATTTTGCAACAGCAGCCCAAACACACTGAGATAGTTCGGGTAGAACAGAGAAGATAAGGTTGAAAGATGTTTGTTATCAATTATGTTTAGGCTTTGATCTCCTCATAGTTTAAAGATACTCATTTTCTTTTCTTTTTTTTTTTCAGTTGGAAGACTACATTTCACCAGAGCCACCCAACTTTCCAATGTTATAATTAAATCAGAGAGTAAGTTCATTCGGAAAGTGGAATAAACTCTATCCTTGAAATCTAATTAAGTCTACTATTAAAATTGAGACATAATATAGGCATATAAATAAGATCCAACTCAATTTCAAGAAACAATCACTGATAAAGTAAAAAGCTACAACTCTACAGAATTAATTGGCAAGATTAAAATGCAAATGATTTTACTTTACATTGATACATTTTTATCAGAGCCATGGTAGACATAAAGGGCATCTCTCTCCTCCCATTAGAAGGGAGCAACTAGGCCGGGCGTGGTGGCTCACACCTGTAACCCCAACACTTTGGGGGAACAAGGCAGGAAGATTACTTGAAGCCAGGAGTTTGAGACCAGCCTGGGAAGCATAGCAAGACCTAGTCTCTACAAAAAATTTAAAAATTAGCCAAGTGTGGTGGCATGCACCTGTAGTCCCAGCTACTTGGGAGGCTGAGGTGGAAGGATCTCTTGAGTCCTGGAGTTTGAGGCTGCAGTGAGCCATGATTATGCCACTGCACTCCAGCCCGGGTGACAGAGCAAGACCCTGTCCTTTAAAAAATAAAATAAAAGGAGTCTCTGGAGATCAAGAGATGTCTTATTCACTTTATATCCTGTATAGCTTCTACTATCATCATTATTCAACATAGGCTGCACATTAGAAATTCCTGATAAACTTAAAAACAAACTACAAACTGTGTCCAGACCCCACTCAACTCTGCCTACAGGGGCCAGTCATGGGTTTTTGTTTTCAGTTTCTCACTTGATTTTTCCGTTTCTGAAAACAGCTATTCAGCCATTTTCTCAGCCCACTTTGAGGTAAATAGAGTATAATTGTAAAAATCGTGCCTAGGAGCCAGGAAGTCTGAATTCTAGGTTTAACTCAAATGCTAAGAAGCAAGTTCTGGCCTTTTGGAAGATCAGAACTTTGCTATGGCCCGTTTCCTTACCTGTGAAATTATAAGTTCAGACTAAATAATATATATTAAGACCCCTTCCACCTCTCAATTGTCATTATTCTGTTCAATAAATCAGGCTTTTTACAAATTAAGATTTGTCTGTCTTCAATGAGTGTGAGGAGAAGGTGAACTAGGCTTTGAACTCCTGGGGGTTGAGACGTCTTTACTCAAGTCTGCATCTCCGGCTCCTCTCACGGTGCCTGTCACAGAGCTGATTCAATAAATATTTGATAAATAAAGGGTTTCTATGGCTCTGATATTTATAGCAAAAAGAAAACTGAGAAAGAAAGCCTGGTGCTTTCCTTTCTCTTTTCTTTTTTTTTACATATGAGCAAAGTGGCCTTGGAGACTGTACTTACAGGTGCCCATAGCTGACTGTGCATAGCAGAAGAATGTGAATTCATACACCTCTGTCTGTCTTTCACCCCACCACATACATGCTGGTTCTCTTCCATCACATACTGCACTGCACTCCTCACACTGCAACTTAGAAGATAAACAAAAGTGGGTGTCAAATAAACAAAGTCCCATCTCTGGAATTAGGAGACAGGCATTTGGATTCCAAAATCAACTGTTTTCTAGGTAAATACACCTGAACAAGTCATTTAACGTTTCCATTTTTTCACGTACAAACTGAGACCAGATGATCTTGAATCTATTTTCTTAATGCTGCCAAGAGCCTATGATTTGGCCAGACAAAGCATTCTATGTGGATCAGAGGCATAAATGGACAAGCCCTGCTAATATCAAGAAGAGGGTTTTCCCCTAAAAAAAAAAAAAAATTCAGAAAACGTAGAAGAACATCAAGAAGTTGATTATTCAGGCTGTCTTTTGCATAAAGAGACTAGGAGTGGGCAGGTCATTCTCTGTCCCTGTTGACATAGATACTGTCGGTGGACTGTCTTGACACACAGTGTGCCGGTCCCAAATCTGCCTTGATGCTGAGGACATTTTTGTTATCTGACAGATACATCTTGAGTGAAGTCTAGGAAGAAATGTTATCTATGTAACGACAGGACTAGACCACAGATTTGATGGTAGGAAAACTAGGAAGGGAAGCATCAAATAGGATACCCAGATTTCAGACAAGAATGATGGGAAAATGATGGTGACATGAATAGAGAAAGGAAGAGTGGTGAGAGAAGACCAAGAGTTTGGTTTCAGATATTTGAGTGCTACTGATCAGCAGATCATCCTGGAGAAGTCTTAAGCAGTTCAAGGTCAAAATTTAGTACTCAGGGTCCATTTATCCATAAAGACGTAAAAGCTCTTACAACTTAATGTCTGTAATTTACCATCTTACAAAATGAAAGTAGGCTTCAAACTAGTAAACTGAATTCCAGAACATACACCAAGCTATGTGCCCCCTGTATATCCAGATCTACCCAGGTACTGGTCTGTATTTTACCCACGTTGGTAGACTCATTCCTCTCACTCAACCTCCTAACCCCTTGATCACCTAAAAAGGAGAAGTCAGAGTACATAAATCTTGTAGCTTTGGGGGCTTATGCAACTTCAGTGGTTTTTAAGCTCATCATGCTGTGGGAATTCTCAGATGATCTCCCAGCCCAGTGACCCTCCGGAAAATGGCATAATCCTAGGATGAGAGAAGCAACATATGAAAATCAGCAGATTTTCAGAACAAAACTGACCATGTGGGTTTGTGGCCAAATTACACTTGAGCATATCGACCCAGCAGGCATAGGATAATTCCACCCACCAGCCTCCGCACAGAGACTGCAGAAGTGCAAAGGAAAAATGGCTTCAGTGAGGGAGGAATGGACGTGCTCCAATAGATGAATGAGTGAAGGTAGCACTCACAAACTAGAGAAAATGCCCACGCACCTCTTCCCAGCCCACCCTTATATCCACACCAGCCCCCAAATACACACACTCACCCATCTGATCATGTCACTTGATCCAGATAGAAGACTTGAGCAGGGGTGGGGCTAGGCTCCGGGCTTATAGGAAGGAACCAGAAAAATACAGACTGTGTTTTATTTTTGTCATGCTAACTCCAGAGTATTCCCCAGATTGGCGTGAACTGACGAATCCACAAGAAAAATCATATATGTGAGAAAAATGTGTTCCAGTTCCAGCTCTTTGGTTTACTAGCTGTGACACATTTCTTGGAGCCTATTTTCTTATCTCTAAAATGGGAACAACAATACTGGCCTTACAGTGTCAACTGGAGGATTAAAGCAAATCTACATAAAGTGTCTCAAACATGATTGACCTTTCTATATATTGCTCCTAGCTGGAGTTCTCCACCTAATGATATCACAATGTCGTCTCCACTGTGGCTTCTTCAGAACAGAGGTTAAGTAACATTTGTTTCTAATTTTCCAATGATGACCACACTGTCTAGCATACTGTAAGAGAAAATGGGATAGCATTTGCTTTGAACTGTAGAAGGACTCTATACTTAGTCACTTTTACATTCTGAAAAAGAAACAACCCTTCATTGACAATCAGAAACTTATCTGACAATATTCAGATTTAAACTTTTTAACTTCCAGCCCTTCACCCTGGGGCCTATGGGAAAAACCCACAGCTCCCAGCCCAACATATTAATCATTATAGGACTCCAAGGAATGGTAACTGACTGTTTGACTGAATGAATAAATGAGCGAGTGAATTAAAAAACAATTATGTGAGGCAGTTTATTAAGATGAAATTGACAAAAATCACGGAGTGATTTGAGCAGTGAGGTGGCTCAAATTACAAATAACCATGTTTTGGAACAATTTTTATTTTAGTGACCTAATTGGTACAAGGCAAAGAAAGGCTTTAGGCACTAGAAAAAAAATGAGGTAATTTTTAAATTGTAAGAACTACAAGTTATCCCAAAATATGATGAACAATGACCAAAAGTGAAACCAGAGGAATAGTACATGAAAGGAAATAATTATCTTCTTATAAACTAGATGGAAAAGAATGGGATAAATAATAATGTTTCAGGATCTTTCATTAGGTTCCAAGGAGAAAGGTATCAACGTTTCTGGGGGTAAATTTTCTACATTGTGATTTTTAATGAGGTATTTAGTTAGCATTACCCCAAGAGATACTCCTGTATTTTTAGCAGCCTTTTATTCACCCACTTAAGAAAATGCTTCTTTTTAATTCAAATGTAGACTTCTCCTCTTAAAATAGTTTTTTAGAGCAAGATAATTTTCATCTACCTAGAACCGTTTTGTTACCATTACGCCTAGAGTCAATTAATCTTTCAAAGGCCTTTTCTGCATCCTCAGACTCCACATTTTCCTTTATCAATTGAAGCAGAGCAAATCAGGAGCTAAGAAAAAGTAGGACCCGGACAGGAGCGATGGCTCACGCCTGTAATCCTGGCACATTGGGAGGCCAAAGTGGGTGGATCACGAGGTCAGGAGTTCAAGACCAGTCTGGCCAACATGGTGAAAACCCGTTTCCACTAAAAATACAAAAAAAAAAAAAAAATAGCCGGGCGTAGTGGCACATGCCTGTAATCCCAGCTACTCAGGAGGCCGAGGCAGGAGAATAGCTTGAGCCCGAGAGGCAGAGCTTGCAGTGAGCCGAGATTGTGCCACTGCACTCCAGCTTGGGTGACAGAGCGAGACTCTGTCTCAAAATCAAAAACAAAACAAAAAAAAACTAGGACCCAAGAGTGGGTTCCAATGCTGCTCACTCAAATCTCTTTTACATTAAGGTAGCTTTAAAATGCTTTCACCAATATGGCTCACAAAAGCATCGTCACTGGCAAAGAATCTGAGTGCTTCCAAATCACTTTAGAAATACAAAATGTGATGTAAATGCTTAATTAGAAAAAGTTACATGTGACACAGTTGCTATTTTTACTACCTGTCTATCAAGAGCCCACGCAGATTTGTCTAAAATAGCAGAGTTACAGGCCAAGAAGAAATCAGTCAAGATATCAAATGCTGCACTTTGATTTCAGAGGCAATGCGTGATTGGAACCCATTACGACTGTCCTTGACACTCAGGAATGAGGCAGATTCCTTGAGAGAAACCACTAGTTTTTAAGGCGTCCCCTCTTAGTCTTCCTCTGAAAACTGAGGTTCAAGCTGTCCACAATGGTCCCTAGCAAACATCAACACTCACCAAAGTACTTCCTCCTTTTTTCTCTTCCTCTGTGCAAACCAGCTTAGAGTAGATACAATGCATGATTTCAACTCCAGCTCAGCAGCAAGGGAAAATCAAAAGGGCAATCGATGTAATTGATGGGTGCCTGTAATGCCCAGCTTGTGGTATATACAACACCTCAAGATAAGCAAATCCAAAAGGTCAAAGTCAACTGTTTTCCACATATTGATTGGAAAAGATCAATTACTTTCCAGTTTACCATCTGGTCACCAAACATTAATTGGCCATTGACTATGTAAATGAAATGCAGAAATGCATAATTATCCCCGTGATTGTTTCTAGTTAAAATGTATTTTATAAAGGTGATGTGGCTGTATACAGCCTTCATAATACAGGGGACAAGCAGAAATATGGAGAGAATCCAGAAGTGCCATTGTCAACAATTAATTCTAGTGCAAGCCACATACCTGGAGGGCCACAATTCCAGGCTCTTGCCAGCTTGTTTTTAGACTACCTGACCTACACTTCGGGACTTAGGAAAGAGTTCCCAAGTGATATCATAGAGAAGTCTGATCAGGACATCAGGAATCCAAAATCTAAACTTAAGCAAACCTAACCATGTTATTAATAAAAAACAAGGAAAAGGGTCAAAACCCTCTGTTTCCTCTGAGTCTAGGAAATCACAGCTCTAATGTGCTCTTTGATTTTGTTTAATTCGATATGTCTATTTATAAGACGTGTACATTGCATGTTATTTTTATACCCAGTGAGAAGAGGAAAGTGGAAAAGGATAAAGCAGCAGTAAGAAGAGGTCCTTGCCTTTAAAGAGCCTAAAGTTTAATTGCAGGAACAAGATTTCTTTGCATATGCAATATAAAACAATACGAGCTGGGATAATTACCAAATCACATGATGCCAACTACATGCTGGGAGAACTTAAGAGGAGAGAGGAGGCAATGAAGTCTTCCTGAGAAAGCAGAAATGGAGCTGTGGTCTAGTGGGTAGAATCTGGATAGGGGGTGAGTAATGGATGAAACATTCAAGAAGAACAGAGTGCCATAATATCGGAATTCTAAGCATGCCCTCTGGCCCAATCAATTCATTAAAATCTCATTTTCTGAACCCAGATATAGTGGACGCATTTCCAACTAGAACCCCAAGATGACCACACAGTACAAAACAGGCCACCTCCCCACCAGGATCAGTACACAAAAGAAGAATAAGCTTCTTTGTTCTTTTAGCCACTGTAATATTGGGTCTCTCGTTAATCAGCTTAGCCTTTTTACCCAACTAATGCAAGATCTCACTTAGTCTTTGAAAAAGCAGTTTCATTTAAGTAGAATAGATATCATCTCCCATTAGGCAGATGAGCAAACTAAGGCCAAGGGAAGTTCAAGGTCACGGAACCTTCTGATGCTGTCCTGTTCACTGATTCCCAGAGTCTTAGTCTTTGCCTTTGGTAACTTTGTCACTTCTTATTTCTGACATTGTGAACAGAAGAACCATTTAGATTTAAGTGTTGATGGAAATTTGACAGGGTTGAATTTCACATTTCAAATATAGAATCCTGAACCTAGATTTTAAATTAGCTGCACATAGCAAGTGGTTTTCATAATTATTGGTATTACACATTTGTTACCACTGCAAAATTTAAAGGAGCACGAAAGATGTAATTGCAACACACAGTTCTGGAACCCAGGGCAGAAATGTTTGGCATTGGGGGTAATTTACACCTATAATGTAATTAAACAGGAGGTAATTTGCATCCAGATTTGCACATTACTGTATTTTTTTCTGATTATAAAAATAAAATAAAAAAAACTCTGGCAAGCACAGGAGGTTTTGGAGTGTTCTGACAATTAGTATTTTAGACAAATGACATGAGGAAGAGGACTTTCTAATCCTTCTGGATCCTTAGCAATTTGCCAAAAAAAAAATAAGCTGTCTGTCAGATATTTTCACATGAAACATGTTGTGAAAAATAACTATTTTCCCTCCACACTATTTTTGCTAAAATGTATTTATTGTTTCTCTCTGATTCTCATCTATTGATAGGATCTGCCTATAAATAAAAAACATGAAAGGCATAAACCTAAGCATTCAAAATGGATAAGAATCTAAGTGTTATATTAGCAAGAAAATTAGGATTTAGGTTATCAAAAAATTCATAGATTATACCAAATGCTTGTTACGGTATAATCTGTTGTCTATATCTTTTTGCAACTTCAGCTTTGTGCTTTGCCAGATCTGTCACTTGTGTCACTGAGACAAAAGAGTTCATCTATATTCAAGGCTAAATGCAGATTCAGGGTAACATGATCTGTTCACTTTAAGGCAACACGTAGCTCCTACAAAAGAAAGAATCTGCAACCTGGCAACTTTCTATCTCATTATGTATGTCCATATGCAAAAAATTGAGTGCAGGGGAAAGAAGGGGTGTCCTGTTAGATACATGCACATACTCGGTCTTATGCAAAAATAATTTTTTTCCTCTTATCTTGATATTGAACTGTGTGCCTAAAATCAAGCACCCAATAACACTGTGGCTGAATAGGTCTCTAATTATCTTCATTCTAACATTTTTGTTGCCAAACCTGGTGAGCTAAAGCACATCAATTTCCTTCTCTTTTACCCTAGGTAAATTCTTATCTCTCTGACAAGTCTTTAAACTCTTCATGAAAAGGTTATGTGATATACGTCTCGTTAGCACATGAAAACCTACCACACGCCCAGAGCGATGCCAACCACTATAGGGGAGGTTTATGAGCATCATAATTATAATAATAATAACTACTGTTTATCTGGCACTGTCAAAGGCACTAGCAGTTTATACACACTATTTAACCCCCAAAACCACATTATGAAATAGGTACTATTATTATTGCTGTTTCACAAATTAAGAAAATGAAGTTTGGAGTGGTTTAGACACAACAGAGTAACAAGACAACAGCACCAACGGGCTTGCAATCTAGCTAGGAATCTAAGACCAACTGGGGTAAGAAAATCATTGAAAAGTACTGTATTAGGATGGTGCAAAAATAATTGTGGTTTTTGCCATTACTTTTCTTTTTTTTTTTTTTTTTAGATGGAGTCTCACTCTGTCACCAGGCTGGAGTACAGTAGTGCGATCTCGGCTCACTGCAACCTCCAACTTTCTGGTTCAAGTGATTCTCCTGCCTCAGCCTCCCGAGTGGCTGAGATTACAGGCACGTGCCACCATGACCAGCTAATTTTTGTATTTTTAGTAGAGACAGGGTTTCACTGTGTTAGCCAGGATGGTCTCGATCTCCTGACCTCGTAATCTGCCCGCCTCGGCCTCCCAAAGTGCTGGGATTACAGGCGTGAGCCACTGCACCCAGCCTGCCATTACTTTCAATGAGAACTGCAATTACTTTTGCACCAGCCTAATATATAACTAGGCCCTACACTGTATGCAGTACACAGAGTGGAGAGTAGTGCCTTTCTCTATAGTCAAGGAAATTCAATCACCTGGAAGATTCTTTCCTTGGTTGCTTCATAGGCATCACAGGTTTGGCATACATAAATTCCAGCATCCAGCCTCAACCCCTAGACTTGGTTTTTCTCCTGTACTTTATATTTTGGGGGATGTATTAGGCTGAAAAATGGCCCCTCTCTAAAGGTGTTCACATCCATTCCCCACACTACATGAATATGTCACTTTGCATGGCAAAGGAGACTTCTCAGATGTGATTAAGATAAGAATCCTGTTATGGGCCAAATTGTGTCCACACCCAAATTCATATGCTGAAGCCCTAACCCCCAGTACCTCTGAATATGTATAGGGCCTTTAAGGAGGTGGTTAAACTAAAATGAGGTCCTTAGGATATGCCCTAATCCAATGACTAGGTTCCTTATAAGAAGAGAAAATTATGATGCAGGCACATTGCAGGAAGACCATGTGAAGACACAGGGAGAGGACGGCACCTACACAACCTAAGGAGGCCTCAGAAGAAATCAATCCTGCTGACACCTTGATCTCAGATTTCCAGCCTCCAGAACTGTAAAAAATAAATAAATAAATAAATAAATAAATAAATAAATAAACTTCTGTTGTTTAAGCCACTGAGTCTGTTATGGCAGCCCTAGCAAATTAATATAGATTATCAGGGGGCCAGTGTCATCACAAGGGTCTTAGAGAAGGCAGGGGGGTCAGAGTGAGAGACGGGCATGTGAGATGGAGCAGAGGTCAGTGAGGCAAGAAGATGCTGCGTTGCTGGTTTGGAAAACAGAGGAACGGGCCATGAGCTAAAGAATGCACGTGGCCCCTAGAAACCAGAGAAGATAAGGCGGGGGATTCCCTCCCAGAGCCCCCGGAAGGAACGCAGCCTGCCCGCTCCTTGGTTTCAGCCCACTGAGACCAATTTTAGACGTCTCACCTCCAGAACTGTAAGAGAATTAATGTGTGTTCTGTTAAGCTAGCAGGTTTGTGGCAGCTTGTTACAGCAGAAACAGGAAATAAATGCAGGGGATGGCATCGCCGTCTCCCTCTGCCCCCAAGCCCTTCCATTCCACTCTAGTAGTACCTGCCTCTTCTCATCCACCTTTCTTAATTTGCATCTTCCTCTAATCTCATCTGGATTCCTGCCATAGTCTCCAAGTTTATTTTCCACCTTCTGATCCCTTTCACCCACCAAAGTATTCCACTCGCCTCTGCCAAAGTGATTTTTCTAACAAACCAGTCTGACCAGATCACTATCCCTCTTAAATACTCAACTGCCTCTAATCAGCTATGAGATGAATGCAAAGGTCTGGTCATGACACAGGAAGCCCCCTATGGCCTCTCCTCTTCTTCCCTCTCCAGCCTGGTCTCCATGTTCTCTGTCTTGTCAACCTTGGCTAAATGCTTCCTTTCTCTCCTGAGCTACACGTCCCCCGCTTCTTTCCAGCCTGGACTCTGTGTCTCATGCGTTCCAGCCTGTACTACATAACCCCGTCCCTCTATTCTGGTATGCTCCCTGCTATTTCAGTCACTTGCAGGTTTTTGATGACACTGTGCCTGCCCTCCCCTCCTCTTCTTCCCTATACAATTCCTGCTTATGCCCCAAAACTTACCTTAGATGCTGTCTGCTCCAGAAAGCTCTCACAGAGGGTCCTCCTCTCTTACCAATTGGTTTACTCGCCCATCCTCTGTGCTCTCATGACACGTGTTGTTTACCTCTAGCTATGTTAGGGACAGTTCCCTCGAGGTAACTAGGTCTTTACTTGCCTGAATCCTCCAGTAGACTGTGTCCATCCAAGCTAAGATCCTGCCTTTCATGTTTCCCCAGTGGCCAGCACAGTGCCTGATACTGAAGACATTGTTTGTTGAATGAAAGTTTTAGGGGGAAAAAGATAGAACTTCATTTACTCATTTGCACAACAAATATTTATTGGGCACTCACTATCAGTAAAACACTGTGGGATGTACAAATATAGGTAAGACTGCAGTTAGAATTTTGTGGTCAGTGTTGAGACATTATCTAAATGACCAGCAGGTGGTAGTACCCAACTAGACCACAGGCAATCAAGTTCAGGGACTGAGAGGAGGAATGCATGGGTCAAAAACAGGGAAGGGTAACTAGAGGTTTCCTAAGACCCGGTCGTGGAAGCATGCAAGAGACTGGCTAGCCAGAAGGAGAAGAGTTTCGCTAATATGATATAGGGTCTTCACTAAACTTCAAATGGCTTGGTGGTAACATGAGTGTACCTTGTGCAAGAAAGTACACAAGTGTCTCACCCTTTAGAGTTTCCAAAAGTGCAGGTTTCCAAGGTATATAGAGCATGAGAGAAGGGGCCACAGATATTACCAAGAGGCAAGAGAAAACACAACAAATTGTATGAAATGAGTCACGTTGGCTGAGGAAGGATTTTTATCACTAGGCATTCATTCCTTAATAATTTTAGGTAATCTAGATCCAGACAGAAGCTGCTTGCTGCCATGACTAGTATAGCATAGATGTTTCTTTTCAAGGCCAACTTTTGCTCTGGAAAAATGAGAAACGGTTCTCTTCTTTGACCCTATCTGATAAAGTAGAAACCAACGCAGATTTATACAAATGAAAATAAGGTTGAGTCAGAGCACTTTGTCCCATAAATAACAAAAATGGATGAAGGCTGACTGGTCTCTAGGCAACCTATGTAAGTACAGTCACATAACCCTGATTTTAGTATATAAAATAGATGATCAAGAGATTCACTTAAAATTATTCACGTCTGGCTCCTCACTATTTTAATAGATTTTAAAAGCTGCTTCCTTGCCAACAATCCTATTGTAAACCTTCGCTGCTGAAGATTGTGGGCCAAGCTTTTTCTTCTGCCAAGATTCAAAAGCTTGTTATTGGATCTCTCAAAGTAGATTTAGTTTAAAGAGTCTGACATCTACGAAAAATTGTGAATACATGATTAAAAGATTGTCTTTTCAACTGTGTATAAATATATACATAAATGTAAATAAATGATATCATGATAAATTAATGTATAGTACAAATTAAAAATCTCCCAAAAACCAAACCAAAAGTGAATATAAATGTGAATGATAAATATATACCAGAAAAAATAATAGCTACATGATTAGAGATATCATCCATAGAGCATGGACTAGCCGAATGAATTTTATGTACTTCAAATTACATAGAAAATTAATTTAGAATATGATATAACAAAGACAAGTAATTCAATGTTTTTATTCTTAATGTCTTTAATAAAGTCAGAAACGATGAAATAATGTTTAGCTGAAAAAATACAAAAATGTTTTATTTTTATATAAATAGTAAAAATGCAGCAAAAGAATGTATAGTGGCCCTTGAATCTTTTTTTTTTTTTTTGAGAGACAGAGTCTTGCTCTGTTGCCCAGGCTGGAGTGCAGTGGCGCGATCTTGGCTCACCACAGCTTCCATCTCCCAGGTTCAAGCGATTCTCCTGCCTCTGCTTCCCAACTAGCTGGGACTACAGGCGCGCACCACCATGCCCAGCTAATCTTTGTATTTTTAGTAGAGACGGGGTTTTACTATGTTGGCCAGGCTGATCTCGAACTCCTGACCTCGTGATCCACCCGCCTCGGCCTCCCAAAGTGCTGGGATTACAGGCATGAGCCACAGCACCCAGCTGGCCCTTTAATCTTTTTAATATGACCTAGCAGTTCAACAATTAGCTTTTAAATGAGATTTTTAACGTGGGTATGGCCTACTGATGATCATGCTGAGGACTGTCCTCCAGAGTCAGAGTCTCCTAAATTCCTGTCTTCATTCCACCACCTCCAAGCTGTGTGTGGTACTTAACCTCCCTGTGCCTCTGTGCTCAATTGCACTTTCCACAAAAGTGTCATCTCAAAGGGTTGTGAAGATGATTAAATGAGAGAACTCTGTAAAGTTTTGGCACAGTGCCAAGCATCTAGTGAGTAGTTAATAAATACCAGTTATTTTTATTGATATGACTATGATCCACCTACTTTTATTTTTCATGCTCATTGAGACTGGATTTTATATTCTACTAAAGAAACTTGTTCTAATGTTGGCATGGGTGTCAGAAGATATGAGTTCTGGCCTAGGCTCCACTGCTTTCCAGATGTGTGACCTTGGACAAATCAGCAATTTAATCAACTCTAAAATGGAAATAATAATTTGTGCACAGCTCAGATGAGAATACATTGTTTTGTTTTGCTTTGCTTCTTTGATATAAAGCATTGTCCAAATGTAAAAGTCTGATGGTGGTGGTGATGATGATGGCTTGGGATTTAGGGTACTACTAAGTGTAAAAGAACACAGTATTTAGGCCTGACTAGACCACATTACAAGTTATTACAAGTTACCACCTCCAGCTGTCACACCACCGCCCTCAGCTTCATGATGACATTCCTCTCAATAACCAAAGAGAGAGACAGGCAGGCAGAAAAGAGACAGAAATTAATATCAGTCCTGATTAGGCTTTCTCGATCTACTATTGTTATTAATTATTGCTATTATTATTTTATCATTCTTGATCTAAAGAGTCTTTCCAAATCTTTTTTAAGAGAAAAATTCAAGTTAAATACCGAGCTACAGTCCAGCTCTCATGGCAAACAGGACCATGTTCTTTCCTCTAAAGATAGCACACTACTTATTCAGATATATTTACTTTACAAAACAGGGCATGGGATTATATAAACAGAAAGATCCTATTTATATTTAAGTTACAGAGAAAAAGACTAGAAGAAAATACTTAAATTATTGTCTCTCTCCATTTTGCAAATTTCTACACTCCATATATATATAAATTTTAACCAAAAAAGTGAGTTAAGTATTCTAAAATAGATGCTCTTCTTAATAAGCTAAGTGACAAGACAGAGCTATGACAGTGAGCCCATTTTCAAAGGATTATGAAAGAATATTGATTTTCAAATTTGCAGAGATTGAAAAAAAATCACCCAGTCCTGGGACAATGAGACTGAATTATTAGGTGGGGCTTCTTTGTGACTTTCTGTTCCCAGGTTTAGCTCTTTTCAGAAATTTGGTCCAAAGATCATTGATCTGCTCTAGTTTTACGAAGCTCATTTTAATTAAGAGTTTCTAATAAAAGAATTATGTCTCTTGCTAAGTCAGGCCTTGGTAAGCTTGGGATAAAATATGTCATAAATATTTCATAGCTGCACTGGTGCAGTTACGTGCAAGGCAGGGTTTTCAAAATTCAAGTGCATATCATCAACATCTGTTGCTGCTTTATAGGTAAAGCTAATGGGTTCAGTTAAAAACATGCTGAAAATTAATACAGGAGTACTCTTTTATTATGCATCTACTGAACTTTATTTTTAGAGTCACTTTTACCAAGGCTCTATTAAGTACTTTTTTAAAATTCTAAATCTTTCTCCCCTGGCTTTCACAGAAAGGATTCACAGTGGAGAGGTGAAAGCATTACACAGCAAAAAAATCAGCAAGCTATGTTAAAGCCAAAAGCTAAATTTTCCCCCACCACACACATGAAATTTCCAGATATAGAATTTTAAAACTGATTAATTTAACATTTGGAATATAATAAAGATTAAATGTTTTAAGTTTTGTAAATACTTCAATTAACTTCATCATAACAGTAACTGACAAATAGAAGGCAATATTCAAAGAATAAAATATTTGGCAAGGGAAACAAACACCATTTCAGTGGCCTAATGACAGAAAAGGAACACTGTGGTCTAGATGGATTTGTTTTGATCAAAGACAATAGGGACATACATATACATCCCAATTTCCCTGACAAGAAACAGTCTTTCTCCCCTGAGAATATTTTTATTTTGCTTTCAACTCTTGACAACAACAAAATCAAAAGTCAACACTGCTTTTAAAGTTTGACATCCTGAGGATCAAGTAGAAATATGTAATATAGCTTCCTTTTTCTTGTGTTCCTGCTTCGGCAGACTAAGTCCCTAGCTTCCTACATCAACAACCCCTTAAACAATTAGCAGAGGACAGGTTATAAATAATTATTATGAGTTCTAGAACCAGATCCCAGGCAAACGGATTAAGTTCAAGACACAATAGGTTGAAAGAAAGTACAGATCATCTCATCTTGGATGGATTCAGCCTACCAATTTGAAAGTGACGTTGTCCATCTGGAGTATCTTTCTTGCTATCCAGTTCCTACATCCCATCCTCCTTGCATTTTTTTATATCCAAAAATGCTATTTAAAAGAAGAAATGTAAGGAAATAGGGAAAGATGGGAGAAAATGCCTAACTCCTTATTTTTTATCTTTATTTTATGACCCAGTAAATATACCACCTTTGCAAATGATATTTTCCCAGTATTAGATGACACCCTACAAAACCTGACAGTGGCTATCATCTCTTAGCTGCAAAGTTAACATTTTCACTTTCCCTACTGAAGGAACATATAGATTGGAGCATGCCTTGTATTTCTCTATAAAGTGATTCAAAACAGACTGTAGCTTATGAAACAACAATTCAGAGATAATTTCATTTAAAATGTCTTACATCTAAATCATATGAGAAACTTTTCTATTTAGAATAAATTACAAAAGTATCGTAGTCAAACTTAATTCCATGAATGCAGTGTGGTTAATCCGGGTGAGTTGCCATGATTGTTTTCTCTCTTTTTAATATTTTGAGAAGATTTCATAGCCTTAGTGTTCTTAGGGTTTAAAAAAATGCAAAAGCATTTCTTTCTGTGAAAACTATTAAGATGGTAAATATTCTTCAAAACTATGAGACAAAAAGGGAAAAACATCTTTTATAGCTTTTTAAAAAAAGTTTTCATACTAAATTTACTGATGGGTATAACCTTCAAATCACCTTTAGGAAGAGTAGTTAAAGTGGAAGAGTTTAATATAAAAGAAAACATTTTGCTAAATGTGAAACTGGATCCATCATTTTTTAAGCCATGGGAACTGTTTTTTCTTAATAAAACAACTGTTTTAATTCTTTGCATTATCCTGTAGTGCCCAGATTGAACAATATATCATGTGACATTGAAGTTACAATTTTAAGTTATAGGCACTAGATGTAGCCTGAGTAACTGACTTATTTTGTTTGTACGCAACACTTTCCTCCTTCTGTAACCAGCTGGAAGCTGAACAATTTCTCAGCTACTTCAGATACAAGGCAAAACTGGGTAATTGTGAAGTTAGACATGTGTTTCCTTGTAAATGTCTCTCTGCAGAGTCATCTCGTTTCCAAAGCCCTAAAGAAAATTAACAGCAGAAGGCTGCCGGTTAACCATGTACTCTCATTGCAGAGTTTGCAGTGAATGTGCACCATGAAATTGCCAAGGATTTTTATATATTTCAATAAAAGCAGAAAGTAATAAGCAACAAAGGCAAAATTACTGCATAATTAGCATTTGGCCTTATCTAGATGGTATCCTGCTGAGTCCAGCCTGACATCCGCAATACTTTACAGAAGGCAGGGAATTTTCTTTCTCCTTGCCTTTATTTATCTACATAAAACCAGAAAATCCTGTTTTTACAGTATTCACAAGTCAGTCCCCTCATTCCATCATCTGTCTCTCTCAACAACTCAAGACATGGATGGGCTCTGCTTGCCTAAGGTCTCTCAGCAAACTAGAACATCCTTCTCCTACATGGCCTGCGATACTGCAGTTTCATATTAATAAACCAAAGTAACTCCCAAAATTAGCACCTCCTGTTTAAAACATTATTTCTATTTTAATACAGATGGGCCAAGGGAGCTGATAAAAATAAAAAATAAAACCTCTAGAAACCCACCCCTTTCCTGATTACTTACTGATGAATATGATCCTGTCTTTTAATAAAACAGGGACTTAAGGAAACATGCTGTGAAAAGAAGCTATTTCGGTCTGGAGTCCCTACTTTTTATAAGCAGTAGTTTCTTCTCACCCATAGCAAGCGTTGCACATTCAGTCACTTGTACCTGTGGCCCCAGCGCTGTTGTTAGTTCTGCAATCTCTTCTTCACTTTATCTTGTAGTATTCTGAACTTTTTTAACCTGAATTACCCCCAAAGCACTACCCAAAATAAAGGGACATTTTAACAGGAGTACACCAGACAGCAAGAAGTCTGTGTAGAGTTCTTGTTTGCATAAACATGTTTAATGATATAGAAAATCTATTCCAAATCAATCATTAAAATCTAAAGCGAAAAATATATTACATTTTAAATGAAGGGAAAACATCTGATTTTATTCAAGGTTGTGGTGACTCTGTTCCGCAACTTTTAAATCAATTTAAAGTTAATTCAGATGCCTTTTCAATCATTGCAGTTACACATAGGGAATACTGAACCGAAAGATGACAAGGCAATTGTCTGTGTCCAAACTTAAGAAAAACTATATTTCCCTGGACTTTTCATCCCAACAGATTTCAAATTCTCCTTTCCAAGGAGTATTTGACCTTCACATTTCAGGCCCTGTATCTCTTCATTTCCTATACCACCATATGTTAGAAAACTCAAACTGGGCTACAAGTATATATTTCTGTTAACTGACTTTAATGAATTTTGGTTGTTTTCAAAATCTGCGATCTGTCCATTGTGCCAACCCTGCATTGCAGGGAAGTCTTAGCCTGTGATTCCAGCTTCGCTCCTGCAAAGATAGTCACTACAGGCAGGTTTAAATTGTATTTACTCGGAGAGAAGAGGGGGAAGGGAACCCCCTGCCCCCTGCCAACCTGACAGGCCAGGCTGGGTGACAAGCCCCCCGGGTGGCTGCACCTCCCACTCGCCGACCTGGGCGCTGTCCTTGGTGCTGCCGGCGCCATAGCGAGCACAAGCGCCTTACCTTCTGCCCCTGCGGAAGCTGCGGACGTCCCCCAAACGTTAAAAACGCCATATCCCACTTTTTATACAAATAACTACCCCGGCCTGTTCTCTTTGTCCCCTTCCCGAAGCCTTCAGGCAGACCGTTCCGCAAAGTCTTTTTTTTTGTTTTGTTTTGTCTTCTAGACCCAGCTCCTCGGCGCTCATCTCCAGCTGCTTTAAGACAAGGGGTGGGGGAAGGGGAGGGAGGCAAGAAAAGATGAGGGTGGGGGAGGGGAAAAGAGGGAATGCAAGGGGAAGGAGGGAGGAGACGGGGAGAAGGAAAGATTGGAAGAAAAGGATCTCCGAGGAAGGGGCTGAGAGAAGGGCAGGGTGAACTGGACTAAAGGCCAGAGTAGGAAGGAGAAGAGGGGCCAAAAAAGAAGGGGATGAAATTAAGCACAGAAGATGGGTAAAGAAAAAAGTATCAGGGAAAGGGCAAAATAAGAGAAAGCCTTGAGGATAAGAGGGTAGAAGGCTAAAGAACAAGGGGACCACGGGGTCGGGGAAGCGCTGCCTGAACGGCGGGACAGTGACAAAGAAAGGGCGCTGGCGATATTCGCACCAAGGGTGCGAAACGCAATCGGGAGGTGAGAAATGGAAAGAAGGCGAATGCCCGGCTACAAGTAGCCTGGGACTGAAAGGGGACCTGGGGGAGGGGCTGGGCCCAGGGCAGAAAAGTCCAGGTTCCCATGCGGCCTGGGCCCACGTGGAGCGGGCGCTGAATCACCGTTCAGCCGCCCCCCTCCCCTCCTCCCCGACCGGTGCCCGCAGTCCCCGCCTCCTCGGCCGCCGCCTCCACGGGGCGGGGCCCTGGCCCGGGACCAGCGCCGCGGCTATAAATGGGCTGCGGCGAGGCCGGCAGAACGCTGTGACAGCCACACGCCCCAAGGCCTCCAAGATGAGCTACACGTTGGACTCGCTGGGCAACCCGTCCGCCTACCGGCGGGTAACCGAGACCCGCTCGAGCTTCAGCCGCGTCAGCGGCTCCCCGTCCAGTGGCTTCCGCTCGCAGTCGTGGTCCCGCGGCTCGCCCAGCACCGTGTCCTCCTCCTATAAGCGCAGCATGCTCGCCCCGCGCCTCGCTTACAGCTCGGCCATGCTCAGCTCCGCCGAGAGCAGCCTTGACTTCAGCCAGTCCTCGTCCCTGCTCAACGGCGGCTCCGGACCCGGCGGCGACTACAAGCTGTCCCGCTCCAACGAGAAGGAGCAGCTGCAGGGGCTGAACGACCGCTTTGCCGGCTACATAGAGAAGGTGCACTACCTGGAGCAGCAGAATAAGGAGATTGAGGCGGAGATCCAGGCGCTGCGGCAGAAGCAGGCCTCGCACGCCCAGCTGGGCGACGCGTACGACCAGGAGATCCGCGAGCTGCGCGCCACCCTGGAGATGGTGAACCACGAGAAGGCTCAGGTGCAGCTGGACTCGGACCACCTGGAGGAAGACATCCACCGGCTCAAGGAGCGCTTTGAGGAGGAGGCGCGGTTGCGCGACGACACTGAGGCGGCCATCCGCGCGCTGCGCAAAGACATCGAGGAGGCGTCGCTGGTCAAGGTGGAGCTGGACAAGAAGGTGCAGTCGCTGCAGGATGAGGTGGCCTTCCTGCGGAGCAACCACGAGGAGGAGGTGGCCGACCTTCTGGCCCAGATCCAGGCATCGCACATCACGGTGGAGCGCAAAGACTACCTGAAGACAGACATCTCGACGGCGCTGAAGGAAATCCGCTCCCAGCTCGAAAGCCACTCAGACCAGAATATGCACCAGGCCGAAGAGTGGTTCAAATGCCGCTACGCCAAGCTCACCGAGGCGGCCGAGCAGAACAAGGAGGCCATCCGCTCCGCCAAGGAAGAGATCGCCGAGTACCGGCGCCAGCTGCAGTCCAAGAGCATCGAGCTAGAGTCGGTGCGCGGCACCAAGGAGTCCCTGGAGCGGCAGCTCAGCGACATCGAGGAGCGCCACAACCACGACCTCAGCAGCTACCAGGTAGGAACCGCGGCTGCGCGGCCAGCCTGCGCCAGCGCCAGCGCCGCGCGCCCCCGACACTTGGGCTCGTGCCCAGGCGCCCTCTCCGCCGCGCTCCCTGGTGGCCGCTCGCTAGAGCACGCGCGCCGCAGACCTAGGGTATTTGCGGATCAGCGTCCTCGCCCATCTCATCCTCCACACTCCGCCCCCACCCACCTGCCCCAGCTGCTAAGGGTCTTGACCTTTTTCAGAAACGTGCATCTTTTCCAGTTCTAATTTTGCACGCTTGCACGTTTAAAGCAGGAGGGATGAATTCGGTAGTGGATAAATCAGCAACTTTAGGATAGCTTATGCAGAAACGCGTGTATTCTCTACTTTTCCGGCAGTGATCGGAAGAGCTCTCAAAATTGGCTTCAGCCCAAAGGGCTCAGATGGGAATGGCCAGGTCAGCCATGGAGTTTCCCCATGCATGTTTGTGTCCTGTTGAGACGTGTTCTAAGTCCACTGGTCTCCGTGCGTGATGTGCCCAGGAAGTGTCCTATTGTCTTACTGATCTTGTATGTTCATTTGAGAATCGCTTAGATTTAAAAGAAAAAGGGGGTGGGACGGGGGGCTGGGAGTCAGGTGTCAGCGAGGTTTGCAGAAGTGGAGGGAGACGGGAGGAGGCCAGGGGGAAGGGGTAGCAAGTGGTTTGCGAAGGAAGTTGCTGTTTGCAAGGATGAGTCTGGGGAGATTCTCTGTGTCTGTTTCAGGACACCATCCAGCAGCTGGAAAATGAGCTTCGGGGCACAAAGTGGGAAATGGCTCGTCATTTGCGCGAATACCAGGACCTCCTCAACGTCAAGATGGCTCTGGATATAGAAATCGCTGCGTACAGGTACGATGCTTACTACGTGCGTGGCCGGAACACTAACCGCAGTGCAGAGGCTGTTCCGGCAGAGCTTCCACCACTTAAGTTAAAGCAGGCAGGGTGCAGGCATCAACTCAGCACCTGGTTATCTTGCTTACTTAAAAAGAAATTATTCTAAAGAATTGCAAGTGTAGTTTTATCTCTTTTTATGCAGCTTTAAAAGAATGAATACTAGTAGAAACAAAAGGTTTTTGAATTACACAAAGGAGGTGCAGATTAATCTCAATGCACATGCTTAAACTTTTTATGGAAAAATGTTTTCAAATGCTGGAAGCATGAACAGAGTTTTGGTTTCTAATATTTCATCTAGTGGTTTCAGCTTTTCAAATGTATAATGTCAAGGACAAACACCAGGACGTTCTATTTCTCTGTTTCTCTGTTATATAGCTTACTATTGCCATCATCTGGCTGAGAATAGATATAGAATGATAGAATATAGATATAGTTCTTTTATATATGTAGATAATTTATATGTATTATATTTTATGCTAGACTGTAGTATAAATTATATCAATATATCATGTATGATATTAATCTAGATCTATAGATACACATATGTGCATATGCATATAAATCTAGATATATAGACACAAATATATATGATCGTTTTATAGATAGTGAGATAGGTTATAGGTCTATTAACTGAAGTGACCTTGCTGTTGACTAAGCGCAAAGGACAAAATCGTTGATTAAAATTTTTCTGCTACCAATAAGGTAGTTATAATATAACGAGAATAAATTGCATTTACAGAGCTATCTCTCTTTTCAGGAAAGCTGAATAACTACATTAAATAGACACTTTATGATAAAAATTATCAACAAATTTATAACTCGATACACCTGAAAATCTAAACGTTTAAGAAAGTGACTACTCTCAGAAAGGCTGTTTGGCTTTGGAGTTTGGGGGCGTTTTGTTTATGGCTTTTTGTTTTTTTGTTTTTGTTTTTGTTTTTTGCTATTTGGCCACTAACAAGTTTTTCAGCATATTCATGTTGTACCTAATGGATCTCTACTGCAGGGCCAAGACTTAGTAGCTGGGTGTGGTTAGTGGACTATTGGGCAAGGTTAGTCATTGTAGGGGGCAACTGTCTGGCAGTCCAGGAGAATCTTTCTCTGTCACTGAGTATAATGTAATATGCCAGTAAGTGATAGCAGGTATTATAGTGAATTCATAGAATATTCTACTTATGTAATTCTATTTATTCAAAGGTAGCTACCACAATACCCAGAATGTAATGAAGCTCAGAAGGCCTAGTGAAATTTTTACTATGTCTTATGTTCTTGGATTTTCTCCTTAGAAAACTCCTGGAGGGTGAAGAGACTAGATTTAGCACATTTGCAGGAAGCATCACTGGGCCACTGTATACACACCGACCCCCAATCACAATATCCAGTAAGATTCAGAAACCCAAGGTGGAAGCTCCCAAGCTTAAGGTCCAACACAAATTTGTCGAGGAGATCATAGAGGAAACCAAAGTGGAGGATGAGAAGTCAGAAATGGAAGAGGCCCTGACAGCCATTACAGAGGAATTGGCCGTTTCCATGAAGGAAGAGAAGAAAGAAGCAGCAGAAGAAAAGGAAGAGGAACCCGAAGCTGAAGAAGAAGAAGTAGCTGCCAAAAAGTCTCCAGTGAAAGCAACTGCACCTGAAGTTAAAGAAGAGGAAGGGGAAAAGGAGGAAGAAGAAGGCCAGGAAGAAGAGGAGGAAGAAGATGAGGGAGCTAAGTCAGACCAAGCCGAAGAGGGAGGATCCGAGAAGGAAGGCTCTAGTGAAAAAGAGGAAGGTGAGCAGGAAGAAGGAGAAACAGAAGCTGAAGCTGAAGGAGAGGAAGCCGAAGCTAAAGAGGAAAAGAAAGTGGAGGAAAAGAGTGAGGAAGTGGCTACCAAGGAGGAGCTGGTGGCAGATGCCAAGGTGGAAAAGCCAGAAAAAGCCAAGTCTCCTGTGCCAAAATCACCAGTGGAAGAGAAAGGCAAGTCTCCTGTGCCCAAGTCACCAGTGGAAGAGAAAGGCAAGTCTCCTGTGCCCAAGTCACCAGTGGAAGAGAAAGGCAAGTCTCCTGTGCCGAAATCACCAGTGGAAGAGAAAGGCAAGTCTCCTGTGTCAAAATCACCAGTGGAAGAGAAAGCCAAATCTCCTGTGCCAAAATCACCAGTGGAAGAGGCAAAGTCAAAAGCAGAAGTGGGGAAAGGTGAACAGAAAGAGGAAGAAGAAAAGGAAGTCAAGGAAGCTCCCAAGGAAGAGAAGGTAGAGAAAAAGGAAGAGAAACCAAAGGATGTGCCAGAGAAGAAGAAAGCTGAGTCCCCTGTAAAGGAGGAAGCTGTGGCAGAGGTGGTCACCATCACCAAATCGGTAAAGGTGCACTTGGAGAAAGAGACCAAAGAAGAGGGGAAGCCACTGCAGCAGGAGAAAGAGAAGGAGAAAGCGGGAGGAGAGGGAGGAAGTGAGGAGGAAGGGAGTGATAAAGGTGCCAAGGGATCCAGGAAGGAAGACATAGCTGTCAATGGGGAGGTAGAAGGAAAAGAGGAGGTAGAGCAGGAGACCAAGGAAAAAGGCAGTGGGAGGGAAGAGGAGAAAGGCGTTGTCACCAATGGCCTAGACTTGAGCCCAGCAGATGAAAAGAAGGGGGGTGATAAAAGTGAGGAGAAAGTGGTGGTGACCAAAACGGTAGAAAAAATCACCAGTGAGGGGGGAGATGGTGCTACCAAATACATCACTAAATCTGTAACCGTCACTCAAAAGGTTGAAGAGCATGAAGAGACCTTTGAGGAGAAACTAGTGTCTACTAAAAAGGTAGAAAAAGTCACTTCACACGCCATAGTAAAGGAAGTCACCCAGAGTGACTAAGATTTGAGTCCATTGCAAAAGGTTAAGCCATATGACAATTTCAAAATGCATGTGATTGGCAGCTTCAAAACAGAACGGGTTCTCCCATGGGGGCTCCAGACATTGTATTTTACTTTGTGCAATATGAGGGGACTGCATGCAAGCTCAGGGTGCTCCCTCCTCAGTCTTTGGGGGATTCAAATGCATGATATTGTATGTACCTGGGAAATTTGCCGATTTCCTAAGCTGTTGGAAGGGGGTCACTTAAGGGGGGATGTCTTGAGATGTATTATGCAAAGTACCAACTGAGCCAAAAACAATAAACGAAACACAGAACTCAGCCTTAAGAAAGCTATATATGAATAATTATGTTTACCTCACTGGTGCATTTAAAATGGACTTTTGTTCATGGGAGAACCTCGTTGACATGCACAGTTTGCAATCTTATGTTGATCGATGTTAAACGTCACAGCAGTACTTGCTCAATAAAGGTCATATTGGAAACATAGTCAATTGCTGAGTCTTATGTCATTTCTCTTTTTCTAATTTTTATTTATTTATTTTTATTTAGAGATGGGGTCTTGCTATGTGGCCTCAAGCAGTCCTCCCACCTCAGCCACCCAAAGTGCTGGGATTACAGGCATGAGCCACCACGCCCAGCCTGTTATGCCATTTCAAAGTGAAATCTCCACTACCTGAAGCTTTCTTGCCCTGAAATAGATTATTGGGGGGAATCATAAGTAAACTGCACATCTTATTGCTATTTCCCTGACAGCAATTACTTGGAAAACGTAATTGCTGAAGATATTTTCAGGTGTCAACATCTTCACCGAGCCCGGTCTTCATCCCAAAATTTTAAAATCATATTTTTGAAATAAAAATAAAAGCATCAGATACAAATAGGAATCTGGTGGGATAGAAATCTTCAGTGTTTGTTTCTATCCCAAAACAGAACTCAGAACCTCTAGGTAAGAGGACCAATAAAGGAGGGGTTCATAACTTGTGCCTTGGAGTTGGGACAGAGACAGAGGAGCTCATGGCATTTATGACGATGTGTCCAGTGGGGACAGGGCTGACATCACTAACACTCCTACCCGGAACTATCCAGCCTCAGAGGCATGCCTCCTGTGCACAAACACACACATACACATTGTCTGCATCACTAATGCTTGATTTGACTGACAGAGATTTACACCTTTAGTATTTTACTAATTGTGGAAAATGATATAAAAAATAAATAAAATACCCTACCTGAGAAAAGAAAAATGAGATTCTGTGACATAGGCAATAAGTGTTTTTAAATAAAAAGACATGATCTTGACCAAGGAAATACTATCATCCCCTTTTCAAAACTTGTTTTAGGCCTTGAAGACCATTAATATATTAATTAGCACATTATCCTGTCCAAGTCCATGTTTTTTCATTAATAGGATCAGCTCAATAATACAATCCTTGATATATTTTCAATGACTTTTTCAAGATAACTCCAATTTTAATGCCTAAACATACCCAGGAAGCTAATTGTTAACGGCAGTTTTTATTGTTTCCCAATCATTAGCCATTTGCCAATCCTCACAATTTTGGCTACATCTGAGTATTATCTGTACAATTATGTATTCAGATTTCTTTCTTTAAAACAATTTATGTTTTAAGTTAAGATGTTAATTTTTCTGAAGCAAAAATATCCATGACACGCAAAGTGACACAGGATTATTTAAATATAATCAGCAAAAAAAAAAAAAAACTGATCTAGTGATACAGAATTAAAAAATAAAAAAGAGCATATTGGAAGGACACAGGGTAACTCCTAGAGTGAAAACATCAGCAGAGGAGTCAGGGGTTGGGAGAGAGGAGCTCGGACAGCCCCAGGGTCAGAGGTCGCAGGAATCATCACGCAGTCACAGGGCGGATTAAACTGAAAACTCTGTGACACTTCATTGGAATTCCAGGAACAGAGCATCATCTATTTGCCACACACCTTTGCTAGCAAAGAGGAGCACCTTGATTGATAGTCTCACCCAAACTGACTCCAATGACAGCACTGCAGCTCTTCACAGAAAAGTCTGGGAGCTGTTATCAGAAGTAGGAATGGAGGCTGGAGTTATGTGATACGATCTATGTGAATTTTTTAAATGCCCATTAAATATACAATCATTACTATAAAAATACTCATTTGCACCTAAAATCATCTCACTTACCAGCACTGGACCCTGGGGCTTAGAAGACTTTCTTTTTTGGTAGCATATATTGTTTAAAAATGACAGGATCAATCAGCAAAACTCTCCAACGCAGGCACCAGAAACTTAACTCTTCAGCTCTAACTTTGTTTTCAACCACTTCATTTTCTTTCCTAAGAAGGTAAGACATTCAATAATATTGCCACATATTCCATAAAAAAAAATCACTATTTTCTATTCTTTAAAAATGACAGAACACCTCTGGCTGCAGTGGCACAGGCCAATAGTCACAGCTGTTCCAGAGGCTGAGACATGAGGATCACTCAAGCCCAGGAGTTCGAGTCCAGCCCTGGCAAAGTAGTGGGAACCCATCTCTAAAATAAATAAATAAATAGAACAACATACCTTTAATAACCCATGCAAGTATTTCTAAGTCAATCAATTGCCTGGTTGATTAATTAATTCAATAAATGTTTATTGAGGACTAGAGCTTGGAGATACAATGGTCTTCTCTTATAAAATTACTTACTTTGTTGTCACTGCCAGCCATCACACTATTATTGAAAGAGAAAGCAATTTGAAATTCATGTGTCCAAATATGTTCAGTGACAGGGAGAAACTACATTTAAACTAAGCACAAATCTCCACGTGTTTAGGATATAAGAGTACCTTTCCTCTGACGACAATTGGTCTCTGGGCACAATGACATCAAGCCATTGAAAAACAGAATTTCTACCTTGCCAGTAGACTGTCTTGGAGACACTATTTTACTTTAAATATTGTGAGGATTATCAAAGTTCATTTATTCTCAATCTTAAAACATATAAGAACAGATTTTTTTTAAGAAAAACTTCCTCTGGGTCACACACTAGTAGATGACAGAACTGGGATTTAACTCATAGGAAAGGTCCAGAGTATGTACTCTTTTTTATTTATTTATTTTATTTTTTATTTTATTTTATTTTTTTTTGACAGGCTCTCACTCTGTCACCCAGACTGGAGTTCAGTGGCATGATCATGGTTCACTGCAGCCTGGAGCATCTGGGCTCAGGTGATCCTCCCACCTCAGCCTCCTGAGTAGCTGAGACTACAGGCACATGCCACCCTGCCCAGCTAACTATTTTTGTGGGGTTTTTTTGTAGAGATAAGTTTCGTGATGTTGCCCAGGCTGGTCTCAAACCCCTGGACTCAGGCAATCTGCCCATTTCAGCCTCCCAAAGTGCTGGGATTATAGATGTGAACCACCATGCCCAGCCCAAAGCATACACTCTTAACCTCAGTCCTGTAGTAATCCTCAAATCTATCCACTGTGGCCACCTCCATTTATAAGGATGTTAAGCTAGGGTCATTTCTTTCTTTTAAAATTGAAAAAAAAGAAAACAGAGGAATACTATAAATCATTCATTTAATATACTTGCATATCTCTTTACATTTAAAAAAAGATACAATATCACTTCTCTATGGCACTGTGTTTGCATCTTGAGGAAAAGAATAAATACTCAAATGCAAAATAAGTGGTGATTCTTTCTATCTCAACAGCTTGCAAGTGCCAAACAATTTTCTCATAGTAACTTTCATGTTCAATAGACAGAGTTATTTCTAGTGCATTTCCTTCTATTGCCAGTCAGTGCAGACAGAAACAGTATTAAAACATTAGGATATTCATTTCCACAACAAATAGGTTGGTTGTTCCAGTTTAGAACAAGTTATTTTTTTCCTAGTGTTTTATATAATTTGCCCAAAGGGAACCAGGAGCTATTTTTAAGTGAATTATTCTATTAGATCTGCCTAAAATTTGTCTATTTTTAGGGCTCCTCAACCCTTAGAGCTTGGCAAAAATAACAGACGAGAGTTCAAGTCCCGGGCTGTAGACAGCAAAATTGTGTGTCTTGGGTCCATTATATTTACCCTCTAAGCCTTCACCTCCCTATCTGTAAAACAGGGCTGCCGAGGTGATGGGGTGTTACCTATGAAAATGTTCCACACTGTAACAGGCATTTGGTAGCCAATCAAAACCATTTGTTAAAGATAATGAATTTTAAATTGGATCACAGCTATAGGTACAGAATTTTTAATTTAAAGAGTAGAAATTAACTGGTACCTTAATTTTCTTATATATAATTTCAATACAGATTGCAATGATGAGTTTACCAAAATAAGTACACAATATGAATATAAATATACTCATGTGCACATATATTTCTTCATCAGTGTACACATAATTTCATTACCCATATAGAGAATTTGGGTGGAAAATCGCTGCATTTTTCATTGCATTAATCTATATAGGCTGCTTAGACACCCAAGAATCCATCTACATAATCATGGGGCTTAAAAGTTTCTTGACCAGGCGTGGTGGCTCACACTTGTAATCCCAGCACTTTGGGAGGCTGAGGTGGGCGGATCACCTGAAGTCAGGAGTTTGAGACCAGCCTGGCCATTATGGTGAAACCCCGTCTCTACTAAAAATACAAAAATTAGCCCGGCATAGAGGCAGGCACCTGTAATTCCAGCTACGTGGGAGGCTGCGGCTGGAGAATTGCTTGAACCTGGGAGGCAGAGGTTGCAGTGAGCTGAGATCGTGCCACTCCACTCCAGCCTGGGCGACAGAGTAAGACTCCGCGTCAAAAAAAAAAAAAAGTTTATTGATGGAAATTATTTAAAACCATATTAAGAGTAAGAGAGAGAAATATTTTTGTGCTAGGCCTCTGAAGACATGAAATTCCCAGATCCATGCTAACTGTGTTCAACACCATAATGCAGGGCTTTCAGGATTCTCTTTGACTTATTTGAGGTATTTTGAAAAGTTACCACATCATATCTTCAATAAGGTATTCATTTTAGGTAATGCTCCTTAAATCATTCCCTAACTCTAATTAGCGTTCTTATCTTAGAAGAGAACAGAGTTGAAAAAAAATTAACAGCCGACTACATAAAAAGGCTTTTTTTTAAGCTTATGAAAAGCATAATCATTCTAAAGGGCTAAGTAGGAAGGACCACTTACATAGGCCCATGCTATAGTCTTGTTTTGTATGTGGGTGGGTGAGGTGGGTAGTGGGAGGAGAACAGAAAATCAAGGGCCCCAGAATTCGAGTGACAACATTGTGTCCAGAAGGCAAACACCGGGAATTTTTGATTCTGCATTGAGATCACAAGATCACAAGTCAGGGGCCAACTTCAAGTATCATAGGTTCTACTTTTGGTGTTCTCACATTCCTAAGAGAGTAAACCCTGACAACAAAAAGAGATAAGGACTGAAAAGGGCTCCTTTTCCTATTGGTTCTCAAATTTCAAATAAATTTCGGTGAGGAGGGTAAAATTACTGGTTTGCATTAGTGCTTTGGAATATGCTTAATTGTAATTGCTCATCATCTCTTCTGGAAAATCACAGATTAGTTGAAACCACGGAGTATAGCACAAAGAGCCTTCTTTGCCCTGGGATCTAGAAGGTTGGGCCCTCTATACAAGTGACAACACCTCCACACCTCCCATTTTAACTTGGAAAATTCAAGTGTATGTTGAATTCTGTGATGATGCGTTTATATCTTCCTCGATTCATATGTCAAAAACTTACTCTTATCCAAAAACAGTAATTCAGCTTAAGGAGAATTTGCACTTAAAATACTGTGTGCTAACATTTGGAAGAACAAAAAGTTAAAAGTTATTAACTTTTGGGCGGGAAACAGTGGCTCAGCACATTGGGAGTGTGAGGTGGGAGGAGATCGCATGAGCCCAGCAGTTGGAGACCAGCCTGGACAACACTGGGAGACCTGCTCTTTACAAAAAATAAAAAGAAAAATAAATTAGCCAGACATGGTGCCGTGTACCTGTATTCCAGCTACTCAGGAGACTGAGGTGGGAGAACTGCTTGAGCCTGGGAGGTCGAGGCTGCAGTGAAGCATGATTGTGCCACTGTGCTCCAGCCTGGGTGACAGAGCAAGACCCTGTCTCAAAAAAAAAAAAAAAATTTACTTTTATCTATGTAAGTATATAATGTATGAATATCAGCAAGAGAAATAGAAAACTGACCTCCCTCTTCCCCAGATTTCTTTCTAACTATGGCTGCCTAGTTACTTCTGAACTGGACTTCTCAGTGGCCCCAAATAAAATTACAAATATAAGACACAGAATAACAATGTCTGACAAATAGTAGGCACTTAATTAGTGGTAAATTTTCATTGCCGTCATTAATATTCGTTTTAAAAGTAATAACTGGCCAGGCGTGGTGGCTCACACCTGTAATCCCAGCACTTTGGGAAGCCGAGGCAGGCGGATCATGAGGTCAGGAGATCGAGACCATCCTGGCTAACACGGTGAAACCCCGATTCTACTAAAAAATACAAAAAAGTAGCCAGGCATGGTGGTGGGCACCTGTAGTCCCAGCTACTTGGGAGGCTGAGGCAGGAGAATGGCATGAACCTGGGAGGCAGAGCTTGCAGTGAGCTGAGATCGCACCACTGCACTCCAGCCTGGGCAACAGAGTGAGACTCCATCTCAAAATAAATAAATAAATAAAAATAAACAAATAAATACAAGTAATAACTAAAATAGCCATGTATATTAATTACCATGTCAATAAGAGATACACACAAAAATTAAACCTGTAGCAAAGCTTCAAGAAGTAGAAGAGTAGATACCTTCGCACTAAACTTTACTTACTATATATATGCTACTCAGAATCATAAAACCCTAAAGGTTGAATTAGCTGATAATATTTAACCCACATTTCTTATGCCTAAAAAGCAGCTGCCTAACCTATAATTGAATATCTACAGTGACAGGGAAGTTACTTTGCTGCAAGCCATCCCAACAGATAACTTGGACTGTTTGCAGTCCAACTTCTTTACATTGTTCTAATCTCTGATCCCCTGTAACGTTCACCCACTGATGCAAATTCCAGGGAGTCATATAAATCCTACTTCCCTTTTCCCCAGAATGGACTTTCAGAGAGATGAAGGTAGCATAGTGTGGATATTTGTCCCTTCCAAATCTCATGATAGGAGGTGTTTGGGTCATGGGGGCGGAACCTTCATGAATAACTTGGTGCTGTCCTTGCCACAGTGAGTGAGTTCTCATGAGATCTGGTTGTTTAAAAATGTGTGGCATCTCCCACCTCACTCTCTTGCTCGAGAACTCTCACGTAATATATTGGCTCCCCGTTGCCTTCTGCCATGATTGTAAGCTTCCTGAAACCTCAGCAGAAGCAGATGCCAGCACAAATGCTGCTTATACAGCCTGCAGAACTGTTAGCCAATTAAACCATTTTTCTTCATAAATTACCCAGCCTCGGATATTCCTTTAGAGTAACGCAAATGGACTAAAACAGATGGCCATGTCCAAATCCAAGCAGCTCATAGCAGTAGTGACCATTGTTGAGTTTACTACCTACCAGGTACTCTTCTAAGCACATCACCTGTAATTAATCCATGATTTCTCATAACAAACATACATGCAGGTATTATTTTTAACACCATTTTTTTGCAGAAGTTTGGGCATAATAAACCCAGGCTTTTTTTATATCAAACCCATGACTTTTCTACTTTATACTTTAATAGACAAAACAGCAAACATATGTAACTACACTTGTTCACCCTTGGAATGAACCTTCTACCTGTTGAGCCGAGCCAGTCTCAAGTAGTCCCCATTCTCCAGTTTTTCATTTATGTCAAAATTAACTGATCTGGGGAAGTGTTACTTTAAAACTCATTGCTATATAGATGGCAGGAATTTTAAACTCAACAATGAGTTACCCTAGGTTACAGTCTAGGTTTCACTAATCTGTGCCTGGATATATAACACTATTTTGTGGTATCTTCTTTACAAAATAAAATAAATTAAAATTCTGATTGGCGCATGAGCTATTTCATGTCTCTATTTTTCCATTTCTCAGATTCTTAAGTAGACAATGCCCTAACAAATAAGTTTTTCTTCTAGTAGTTATTCACCCATAACACATAACCAGTTTCATGGGGAGCAGCAACATGTATCTGCCTATCGCCTTTGATTGACACTTTGTTCTTCAGCGATAGCAACGAAGGAAGTATTTAGGCTGGATTAAAGTGATTAAGCATCAAGAGAAATTATTTCTATGCATCAGCAATTAGACAGGTTTGGACAGTTCTAATAAAGAATGCCTTGAATGTCACATGTTAGAAATTTGGACAAATTTGTATGGCACTTTCACATCCTACGCACTGTCATCTGTTACTATCATAGTTTGAGATTAAATTTCCTTTGCTGGGCATTGTTGATTATGAAGCTTAATAATCACCATGTTCCTGGGAAAGCAGTTGACCATGTCCACCCACTGAGTTCATTCCCTTGGCATATTCGAATGAATATTACCATTAGAAGGAAATCGTGTGTCCATGACATTTGCAGAGCTAATGCCGATCTCCATTCTTCATCAGCCACCCATTAAATATGCCATAAATGATTCTAAAGTAACACTTTCTCATTGGCAATTAGCAAACTGCTTTGCCAATTCTTTGTCAGGAATTTGCTTACAGGATTTGCTCAAGAAAACACATGAATTTCAAAATCACCATCGAGACATATGAAAAAGTAAGGCCAAGGAAGGAAAAGTGAATGAAGTCACCCAAAGTATATGCTTCCTCCTCAACTTTGGTGGACAGAAGTGTTAGGGGAAAAGGAGCACATGAGAGCCAGGGTGCCATCATTTGAAAATCAACTCCATCTTAAAACTAGCAAGGCACATTCCTCACCAGTCACAACCCATGGTCATAAGATGTTTATGGCTAAGGAAGCAGCTTAGTCATGACAGCAAGGACAAACTTCTGTGACAGCAGAATGTCCAGATGTACCAATACTGATGGCAGCAGTGAGCCATCTGCCATCACACTGGCCACTACAGGGAGGGCGCAGGAGGAGGCAGACAGCACCCTCCCCCCAGCAGCTTCTGCCCTGGGGCCGCTGAGATAGGGCCAGGCCAGGTCACGTGCCTGGTGAGGGGGAGCTTTCCAGGTGCAACTGCAGCCGCCCCAGTCACAGCTGCAGCCCAGGCACCCCTATTCTCTTGGGAGCCAGGAGCACACAGAAACCCCACCCCCCACCCTGCGTAGGTGCAGCCACCCAAACCAAGGCTGCAGACCCAGGCCTCCCTGCACTCTTGCACTTGCAGGCTTGGAAGTGACTGTTCCTGCTGCCTGGCCTCTCCCTGGCACGCGCTTCAATCTCGGACCAGAGTTGGGGCCAAACCCAGGTGCTGTCACAACCTGGCTGTGTATGCACATGCTTGGGGAAGTGTTGACATGCCAGCCTCCTGCCATCTTGGCCCCCTCCAGACTTTGGGTGCTGATCAGCTGAGGAGCATGAGAGGGGAAGCTGAGGGGAGCTGAGGGCAGCTAGGTGCTGCCCTGCAGGTGTCCCTTGGTGCAATAGATGGTTGTGGGAGGCAGACAGGCTCCTGGGTGGAAGTGGGTAGATCCCCAATGAAGCCTCACCTTCAGGCTAGGGCACGCCTGAAGCCTGGAGGCTGGGCTGCCAGTCCTGTAGAAAGGAGGGGGAACTCATGGTGCTTTATCCTAGGCCCACTCGTGGCTGCCCATGGACCAATTAGCATGCACTTCCCCTCTCTGAGGCCTGTAAAAGCCGCAGGCTCAGCCAGAACAGAGCAAAGGACAGGACAACCAGCTGCAAAGAGGAGTTAACCTCCCCAGGACCTCCTCTCTGCTGAGAGCTGCAGACCAAACAGGACCACCTGCCTGCAGAGAGGAACCACCCACTCCAGGGCCTCCCCTCTGCTGAGAGCTGAACACTGAATCAGATGACCAGCCTACAGACAGGAGCTGCCCCCTGTGTGTCTCCTCCGAGCTGTTCTAACACTCAATAAAGCTTCTCTTTGTCTTGCTCACCCTCTACTTGTAAGCATACCTCATTCTTCCTGTACACAAGATAAGAACTCAGGCAAAGGTGCCTCCAGCCACAGAGGTTTCTGGCCAGAAAAGTGATACACTAAAGATCCCATAACTTTAAAGATAAAGTTATGTGATACACTATCACATAACAGTGTGTGCTTTTATGATAGCTATAGTCATGCTTTGATGTACTTACTCACTAAAATGCCAAGTAAAACTTTCTTTAAGTCAACAAAGTAATAAATGTTGTCATGCTCTCAGTCCACCTAAACATAGACATAGCTTACTTTTACATAGATAAGACCCCTACATAAGGAGAGTTTAAAACAAAGATGGCATATTCCTCCTCTTGCTTTCTGAGGATGGCCTACTCTGTTACTGAGCAGCTTCAATAAACTCTGTCTTCTCACTGTACTCAAGGACTTGCCCTTAATTCCTTTCTGCATGAGAGCCAAGAACTCTCTCTTGGGGTCTGGATTGGAATCCCTTTTTCTGGCAACAGATGTGAACAAGATATTGCTTGGGAGAAATGAAAGATTTGTCAAAGAATGAGAATAGTTAACAACATTAAAGACATGTACCTTGCCCACATTAACAGCCTATAACTCCATGTGTTATCAGAAAAGAAAAACATAAATATTCACTGCCAAGCTAATATATATTTCAGGGCTTGGCATGCCATATCATGATACCATTCAAGATACTGTCAAGGAACACCAATGTCCACATTCCATCAGTACAATATCCCTACCCCTCTTGCTGTCCATGACAGCAGGGCCACTAACTGGAATGCTGTCTCTCCACAGAGACCCCCAACCTCCAGCCTGTCATTACAAAGGATGGGTCTAAAATGTCACATTTAGAACCACTGAAAACTTGAAACTTTTTTCCATTTCCATCCCTCTTAGTGTCATTAATCAAACAGAGCCTCTTTCATATTATTTACTTGGCTGTTCCTCAAATCTCTTCAGACAACCAAAACAATCTAGAAAGTACAGTGTAGCTTTTAAGAACACAGATTTTGATGTCCAATTAGATCTTGGTTCAACTTCCAGTTTTAAACTTCCTAGTGGACTTAGCATGTTAGGGGCCAGTCAAGGGGAGGAGAAGGAGGAAGAGGAGGAGGAGGAGGAAGAGGAGGAGGACAAAGAGGAGGAGGAGGAGGAGGTGAAAGAACATTCTAAGAGCTCCAGAGAGAATGGAATGTAATACAAGGAAATATACCACAAGTTAAGGGAAAGGTAAGAAGCAAATTCAACTCTAGTCAGTGTGGGCTGCCATAACAAAATATAGACTTGGTGACTTAAATGACAGAAAGCTCTGGGTGATAGCACAGTCAGTTTCTGGTGAGGGCTCTCTCCCTGGCTTGCAGAGGGCCACCTTCTCATCATGTCCTCACATGACAGAGCAAGAGTGAGCTCTCCAGTGTCTCTTTTTATAAAGACACTAATCCAATCAGATCAGGGTCCTACCCTTAAAGCTCATTTAGCCTTATTTACTTCCTTAAAGGCCCTATATCGAAATACAGTAACATTGGGAGCTTAGGGCTTCAACATATGAATTTGGGGTGGGGGAGAGGGAACAGTTCAGTTCATCACAGGGGATAATGGGGCAACTCAGAAATTAGCAATGGAAAAAAGCCATTATCACCTCTGGGGTTGCAGCACACAAGAAGTAGATGTTGCTACCAGAGACCAGAACCCAGGATCATCCAGAGGGAGCTAGAATTATGGCAGCAGGGGCAGCCTGGTGAGAACTGAGACCATGGAGGGGAGAGGTGTCCAAGGGAAGTCATACTCAAGAACTCAAGCAGGAAAAGGAGACACTACCTCTGCTGGACGTGGGGCCTGAAAGAAAGGTGGGGAGGTGATGGTGGCAGGTATTCTCTGATTTGTCCCTCCTCCCTTTTCTACCCTTTCTCTGGTTCCTCCCATGACCCAGTAGCATATGCAATCTAATCAAGAAGGGAGCCTGAACTATGCAACTCCTGTGATAAAGAGTAGAGCAGGGTCAGTGTGAGAAATTGAGCTGAGAACAAGCATTGAAAGATGACTGGCACACTCACCATGTGACTTTAGGCGACTCATCCTACTTTTCTTCACATCCCTTTTCTCATCTGAAACATGGGGCCAATAAAAGATAATTTGATCACTGTTAAATCAAGTTTAGCCTAAAGCTGCCTCTTGGAATATTTTAAGTTTGGCCTGTGACAAGAAAATAAATCTTGGAGCCCCAAAAATCACTAAGCTAAAGGGAAAAGGCAAGCTGGGGACTGCTTAGGGCAAATCTGCCTCCCATTCTATTCTGCTCACTGAGATAAAAGCATATTTGATTGCCTCCTTTGGAGAGGCTAATCAGAAACTCAAAAGAGGCTGGGCATGGTGGCTCACATCTGTAATCCCAGCACTTTGGGAGGCCGAGGCTGGTGGATCACTTGAGGTCAGGAGTCTGAGACAAGCCTGGCCAGTGTGGTGAAACCCCATCTCTACTAAAAATACCAAAATTAGCCAGATGTGGTGGCACGTGCCTGTAATCCCAACTACTTGGGAGGCTGAGGCATGAGAATCACTTGAACCTGGGAGGCAGAGGTTGCAGTGAGGCAAGATCACACCACTGCACTCCAGTCTGGGCAACAGAGTGAGACTCCATCTCAAAGAAAAAAAAAAGAAGAAGAAGAAAAAGAAACTCAAAAGAATGCAACCATTTGTCTCTTTTCTACCTGTGACCTGTAAGCCCCCTCCCTGCTTTGAGTTGTTCTGCCTTTCCAGACCAAACCAGTGTTCCTCTTACATATGTTGATTGATGTCTGATGTCTCCCTAAACTGTATAAAACCAACCTGTGCTCTGACCACCTTAGGAACATGTTGTCAGGACCTCTTGAGGCTGTGTCACAGGTATGCATCCTCAACCTTGGCAAAATGAACTTTCTAAATTAACCGAGACCTGTTTCAGATATTCAGTGTTCACAGGCCTAAAGGTCTACAGTCTGTTTATACCTGCACTTGTTAGAGTTCTGTACATCATGAACTATAACAAGTGGAGGTATAAGCAGACTGTAGCCTACACTTTTGCCAATCACCAAGTTGGGCCAATGAAATGTAACCCACTGTTCAAACCATATTCAAATAAGGCAAATGTTGAGCTGTAACCAGTCCGGCTGTTTCTGCACCTCACTTCCATTTTCTGTACATCACTTTCCTTTTTCTGTCCATAAATCTTCTTCTACCACCTGGGTGCACTGGAGTCTCTGAGCCTACTTTGGCTTAAGAGGCTGCCCAATTCATGAATCGTTCATTGCTCAATAAACTCCTTTAAGTTTAATTGAGGTAAAGTTTTTCTTTTATCAGCATTAGGAATAAAATTATTTGGAAGCTCTTAGGGCAGTGTCAGTTCTCTAGTAGATGGTAGGCACTAAATAAATGCTGCTTATTATTAGTTAGGGAACTTTTATTTTAGCTAGTTTCAGGAAAAATCCAAATATTGGTTTGAACCAAGCTGTCTAGCTGTTTATAAAGGGAAGCTTCTGGGAAGGTTAAAACAACTTCTGAGTGTCCACTCATGCTTCCTTTCTGCTCTCTACTTCTTTTTCCCTCGTTACCTCCTTCCATCAGAGGCTCATTTTTTCCTCTCACCCACAAGTCCCTTCTTGTGCAAAAGTTCCAAGATTCTGTACCTGTGTGCCTGTGTATGATAATCAAGATGGTTAATCAATGGATTGATAATTAATGGATTTTTAATCCATTTAGACATTTTCCCCAGCTGCATCCTTAGACCCAGGGAATGCATAGGCACTCTGTGTAGATATCTTCTTTATGGAATGGCTCACCTTGCTCAGGACTGAAGGTCTTAGCAGATGTCCCTTAATAACGAAAGACAAATAATGGACACTAGAAGACCCTCAGCTTATGATCCCTCCACATGAACTGCTCTGCCAAAAGGAAGGTCATACTATTCTACCAAGGCCATATCCTTCCCTACGAGGAAGAGACAGTGTGGGGAAGATGGCAAATGTGAATGGATCTCAAGCACTCTGCTTCTCAGTTTCTAGAAAAATTGCACATTGCAGACAAAAAGAGGCCAAAAGTAGCGATCTCCAGGAGGAGGCTAGGGCTATTCTCTGCTTTAATCAAGGCAAGAGCATCTATCCAGCTTGTAGAACAAGAACAGTGATGGGCATCAGATGCAAATGCAGTGAGTAATCAATTAGGACACAGCTGAGTGACCACAAACAGGAAGTCCTCAGGAAACTGATTCAAAATCCAGTTTTTAGCCACTCAAGGAAAGTCTCAATAAGGAATTGTTTCAGGACAAATGTGCCAGGAAAGACAGAATCTTGTCGGAATTAGTAATAGCTTTTTATTCCAGGCCTCTCTCCTGAAGAGTTGAACATGAGCACATCAAACATGTTTGCCCAATGAGAGCTGACTGTGTCCAAAAAAAAGACAGAAGATCAGAAAGTATGGCAGTTGTATATCCGTATGGCAATATAACATCCATCTCCACAGCAATGCCAATAACTAAAACACCTAAAACTCATATATTTTTCTCCAGTTTAGAAAGTAGCTTCAGATACATTGATATGGTTTGGCTGTGTACCCACCCAAATCTCATCTTGAATTGTAACTGCCACAATTCCCACATGTTGTGGGGGGATCCCAGTGGGAGGCAATTGAAATATGGGGGTGGATCTTTCCTGCACTGTTCTCATGATAGTGAATGAATCTCACAAGATCTGATGGTTTTAAAAATGGGAGTTTCCCTGCACAAGCTCTCTCTTTGCCTGCTGCCATCCATGTAAGATGTGACTTGCTCCTCCTTGCTTTCTGCCATGATTGTGAGGCCTCCCCAGCCATGTGGAACTGTAAGTCCATTAAACCTCTTTCTTTTGTAAATTGCCTAGTCTCAGGTATGTCTTTATCAGCCGCATGAAAACAGACTGATACATACATCATCCTGTTCAAATCTTAGAGTATGTCAGACAGATATTGTGCTCTCTGTTTTCAATCTGCAGACGCAGAAGCTGAGAGAAGTGATTAACTTCTATCAGAAGAAAGTCACCAGTAGGACCTACCATATGCATTACTGGGGCATTTTTTTTAAGAAAATATATTTTACTTTTTAATTTCTAAGTGTAACAAATATTTGCTGTAGAATAATAGCTTTGTGTTTGCCCATATTCCTGCCACCTTAGATAACTGTTATATTTCAGCATATGTCTTTCTGATATTTCCATATGCCCAAATTTGATATGGCTGTGATCATTTCTGATAATTTCATTTAGTAACTCATTTGAAGACCATGCTACCAGTGCATAATTAACAGATATTTATTGAGCATCCAGTTTCTGCAGGAGAAATACCAGCTATAGGAATGAGGGAGCTGGTATTTGACTCATCCCAATTAAATCTGAGTCAGCATGAGCAATCTGTGGTGGAATTTTTTAGGGGTTCACAAATTTGCATTAGACAAAATAAATATCAGAGGCAAAGGTCAAGATGTAAGCAAGATAATGATATAGTTGGGATATTCATCCCCCCAAATCTCATGTTGAAATGCAATTCCCAATGTCAGAGGTGAGGCCTGGTGGGAGGTGTTTGAGTCATGGGGGCAGGATCTCTCATGGCTTGGTGCTGTTCTCATGATAGCGAGTGAGTTCTCATGAGATACAGTTGTTAAAACATGTGGCATCTCCCCCCACACCACCTTCTGTCTTTTGCTCCCACTACAGCCATGTGAAACACCTGCTCCCCCTTCATCTTCCACCATGATTGAAAGCTTCCTTAGGCCTCACCAGAAGCAGTGCTGACACTATGCTTCCTCTACAGCCTGCAGAACCATGAGCCAAATAAACTTATTTTCTTATAAGTTGACCAGTTTCAAGTATTTCTTTATAGCACAACAAGAATGGCCTAATACAGATAGGTTTGAGAAAAAAATTCAAGATAAAGAGCAAATTTAGAGACCAAGTGAGGATCAGGAGAGTCAGGAATCTTACCAGAATTAAAGAAGGAAGCCTAAAGGAAAAGAACTAACAATTTATTTGGCAGGAAAAACATAACCCAACAAAGAGCCAAAAAGTCCATTCACATCCTGGGTAGCCTTGGGCCCATCCTTTCCCAGATCCTCAGAATCCAGAGGCTGGAAGAGACATGATTGTGCTTGGCCCTTTCTTGAAAACCACACTACCAATGCATAATCAACAGTTTATTGAGCATCCAGAGTATGCAGGAGACATACCAGCTATAGGAGTGAAATAGGAATAAGTAAATAGTTAATGTTTGCCACATTATTTATTAAGTAAGTCTCAGGAACCAGGCTAAACATCTTACATGTGTTCTCTGGTTTGTATCATGTTGTTTAATTTTATCATCATAACCACACTATGAAATAGAAAGCATAAAATCCCTTCCAACAAAGAAACTGAGATTAGGAGAGTTAAATAAATTATCCAATGTCACAGGAGTATCAAAGAAAAAACTCAAATCACTTATCTCTGACACATGATCTCAACCCCCAACTATGCTGCTGTCCTTAAAGGACATCGAGCTTAGTCCAACCCTTCAGATCATTAGGTTCATTTTATAACATAGTACCAATACTGGAAACCCCCCAGTGTCTACTATCATCCAGGGAGGTCCATTCTGTCTTTGGATGGCTCTGAATTCATCAATTTATTCATTTAACAAGTATTAATAAGCACAAAAATTGCATGAGAGAGGCATAGCTCAAGGCTCTGACAATATAGCAGTGAACAAATTAAGTCCCTGCCTTTGCGGAATTTATATTCCTGTACAAGAACGTAGGAAAAAAGCAAAAGAAAAATATAAAGGATTCAGAGGGTGATAATTGTTTTGGATAAAAAAAGATAAAAAGATTAGGAAGGGTTGAACGGGGAGAAAAGGGTTGGTCTTTCATAAAGGAGAGTTAAGCTCTAATAAACATATAGATTATTTATGAACCATATATATGCAGATGTCTATGAAAGATACATGGATATATATGAGAGAATCTATTCCAGTCAGAAAGAGTAAGTACAAAAGCCCTAAGGCAAAAATTCTATTGGCAAGTTATAGAATAACATCTAGGCCAGGTTCGTAGGAAGGAAATGAACAAGAGGGAAGCCAGGCCAGTGATAAGAGGGGCTCAGTCATGGAGAACCTTGTAGGCCACAGTACATACAAGGCTTTGGAGGGTTCTTAGCAAAAAAGTGACACTGATAAATTTGGGAAGAAGCACTCTAGTTACTCTGTTGAGTGTCTACTGGGGGACAGGAAGAGTTGAGGATGATAGGGTTAGTTATGAAGCTATGGCAATAATCTAGGTAAGAGATTTTGGTGTCTAGGACCAATTGGCGATTAAGAGAACTACTAGGCAGCGTTTTGAGCACATTTTGAAAGTGAGGGCCATGAGATTTACTGGTGATGTGTAGAGAGTAAGAGAAAAGAGAAACCAAACAAAGGTGAACCAGAATGTGTGTGCTGGAGAAGAAAAAGGATGGAGTTTCCATCTACTGATGTGAAAATGAGTGAGACATCTTTAGAAGTGGACAGGGTTAAGGAAGAGGAAGGGAAACCCAGACAGTGGCTTTGCCATGAGAAGTTGACTGCCCATGAGACATTAAAGTGGAGACGGTATCTCAAGAGAGACCAGTTGCCATCGGCCCTGTGCTTCTTATTCCACCTGTAAAATGTGTGGAATACATGTCCTCCCAATTCTCTGCATTGTGGGAAAGGATGACAGTGCTTCTAAAAGCAAAACACACCATCAAACCCAAACCTGATGATGGTGATAATTTTTATTATCCCTGAAATTAAAATCTCAACTGTGAAGAACAAAAGGAATTGACAGATGGGGAATTGGGACCCATATGGATAGTAGGTTGGGACAGAGGAGAAAACAAGCTTGACTGCATAGGTGTAAAATGAATGTGTTTGCTTTAACAGTGTAATGTGACCTTGGAGATGATGTATTGGGCTGCTGGCCCATGTGATTTTCGAGTCTTTCAAAGTAATTATCTTATTTTGATGCTTCACAATCAGATTATTCCTAGTCCGAAAAATCTGCTTTTATTCCTTAGGAATTATGACTAGCAATTTGATTGCTCAAGGAAGAAATGGTTGGCTGTATTTCATGATGCTTTAGCCTTGTTCAATGACATGCCCCACATGTGTGTCTTGAGAGAAGGGAATTCTTACAACAGGCAGAGCTCCAAGCTTGGTGTCACTGGAGTGACAGCTCCATCCTTTCCAAGATCACCCAGTGCATGGACTCAACTCATCCTCCTCACTCTCCATCCTAGAATGTCAGGATTCTTCTACAGGAAACAGCACAAAATGAATCCCAATGTGTGAAGTCCAATGTATTTAACCAGTTGATTGAATTGAAAATCAAATAGTTAAACGCAGCTTGACTATTTCCAAAGCAAGCATCCATTAAAAAGAAGAAAATTTCAAGTGATTTCTTGAACTGAGTATTTTGTTGTTGTTGTTGTTGAGATGGAGTTTCACTCTTGTTGCCCAGGCTGGAGTGCAATGGTGCAATCTCGGCTCACTGCAACCTCTGCCTCCCAGGCTAAGCGACCCTCCTGCCTCAGCCTCCCAAGTACCTGGGATTACAGGCGTGCACCACCATGCCTGGCTAATTTTGCATTTTCAGTAGAGACAGGATTTCACTATGTTGGTTAGGCTGGTCTCAAATTCCTGACCTCAAGTGGTCAACCTGCTTCAGCCCCCACAAAGTGCTGGGATTACAGGTGTGAGCCACTGTACCCAGCCTGAGCACTTCTTTTACATGAACAATTCATTGTTGATCTGAAGAGCAAAAAAAAAAAAAAAAAAAAAGACGAGGCTCACAGCTGATACAGTTTGGCTGTGTTCCCACCCAAATCTCATCTTGAACTGTAGTTCCCATAATCCCCACATGTCATGGGTGGGACCCACTGAGAAGTAATTGAATCATGGGGGCAGTTATCCCCATGCTGCTGTTCTCATGATAGTGAGTGAGTTCTCACGAGATCTGATGGTTTTAAAACGGGCTTTTCCCCCTTTTTCTCAGCACTTCCCCTTGCTGCCACCATGTGAAGAAGAACATGTTTGCTTCCCCTTGCACCACGATTGCAAGTTTATTGAGGCCTCCCCAGCCCTGAGGAACTGAGTCAATTAAACCTATTTCCTTTATAAATTACCCTGTGTCCGGTATGTCTTTATTAGCAGCATGAGAATGGACTAATACAACAATACTCAGAATTTTTCTGATTTGTACATTTACTTCCAAGTCAATAAGTGACCCTTGATGGAACTATTTCATGGAGTGGCTACCAAATTATCAGTAATAAAGCCTAAAATTCAAGAAAGAAATAAAGAAACACAGAAAGATAGGATAGAAAGAAAGGAAGAAAAAGAAAGAAGGAAAGAAAGAGAGAGAGAGAGGAAAGGAAGGAGGAAGGGACAAAGGAAGGAAGGAAGGACAAAAAGAAAGAAAGAGAAGGAAAGAAAGAAAGAAAGAAAGAAAGAAAGAAAGAAAGAAAGAAAGAAAGAAAAAGAAAGAAAGAAAGAAATGGAGGGAGGGAGGGAAAGGAAAAGAGAGAGAAAGAGATAGAGGGAAGGGAAAGAGAGAGAGAGATAGGGAAGGAGGGCAGAAGGGAGGGAGGGAAAGTTCCATGTTAAATGGTACAGACCACCCATTGTTATACCAATGTCATTGTAACTGAACAAGACTATCTTTCACTACACAGTCTACTTGATCTTGGCCACCAAAGAAAGAGCAGGAATAATAATATCATTTCTTGGGAGGCAGTGCTGCCTAGTGCAGGGGAAACGCACTGAGTTTTGGAATCTAATCCCAACTCTGTTATTACCAATTACATCATATTTGGTAAACCACTTTACCGTCCCCCCTGCCCTGATTCTCAATGTCCTCATATGTAAAACAAAAAAATATTTCTTAAGTAGCTTCTATAATTTTTGAATTCTCTAATTCTATGGCACTATGCATTCATGGAGAACTTTCTTATAAGGGCTTAGAGTGTTGAGGGAGAGAACTTTAAAACACTATTGAGATTTATATCTCCTGCCACACATCTGCCTCAAATGTAACATAGACAAAATCTGACCTTTGATGTCCGCCGCCCCCCAACTCTGCAACTCCCACAACCTGTTACATCCTCTGTTTTCCCATTGTGTTACATGGAAACATCATTCTCTCATTCTCTCAGATCAAAAACTTTGTAGTCATCCTTGACTCTGCTCATTCTCCCATTTCCAATCTTCCAGGAAATTCCAGTGGCTTTGCCTTCAAATACATGCAGAGTCCTACAATAACCCGCCTTACCCACCACAATCACCCAATAATAAATCACCATTATTTCTCACTTCCATTTAAGTCAGTAGCCTTGTAATTGGCCTTCCAGCCTCCGCAACTTATCCTCAACACAGCAGCCAGAGTGATCTTTTAAAAATATAAGTCACTTCTTGCCACAGCATGGCTAGAAACCCTCCCAGGGCTTCCCATGGTGTTCAATCTCCCATATAGTAAAATCCAAAGCCTTCGCCAAGCCTGTAAGGCCCCATCTGATCTACTCATTTCCTCCCTGACCTCATCTCCCCTCACTTCTCACCATGTCTATTTTGTTCTGGCCACACCAGTCTCTTCATTCTTATTCCGGCACATTAAGCATGCTCCCACTTCAGAGTCCCCGGGCTGGACTTAACCCATTGTCTGCACAGCTTTCCTCCTCCCTTGTTCCAGGTCTCTGTCCAAATGTCAACACAGAAAGCTTCCCTGACCAACCAAGGCATAATTGAACCTTCCTGCCAACTCAATCCCATTTACCAAACTTCATTTTTCATTATAACCCATAGCCCATATCACCTAACATAGCATATGCGTGTGTGTGTGTGTGTGTGTTTGTGTGTGTGTGTGTGTACTTGAGACAGGGTCTCACTCTGTTACCTAGACTGGAGTGCAGTGGTGCAATCATAGCTCACTGCAGCCTCGACCTCCCCAGCTCCAGTGATCCTCCCAACTCAGCCTCTTGAGTAGCTGGGATCACACAGGCATGCAATATTACACCTGGCCCATTTTTTGAATTTTTTTAGAGATGGGGTATCATTATGTTGCCAGCATATATTTTTTAAAAAATCATCTGCCACTGTGAAAACAGAAAATTAGTATTGTAAATGCTGCATCCCAAGGGCCTAAAGATGGTATCTGGCCCATAATAGGTACTCAGAAAGTATGTCATGAATGAATGAATGAATGAATGAATGAATTGTAAAATAAAAATAAAATCCAACTCCCCCCACCTTCAGCAGATTAAAAGGAACCCTCTTGGCCAAGGAGATCCCAGAAAACCTTTAAGTTTCCCAGCCATGAAGAGACGGGAGGTTGGTCATGCCTCATTATGCCGTCTTTCTTATTAATCTTTACCAGATTATTTCTTAACAATTAAACAGAAACTGGTCCTGGAGAAACAAAGAATGGAAGCTTTGCTCCATCCTTGATGTCAGCCAATTGCCAGATAGATACCACAGCCCAACTCCCCTCCCTTCTTGTGGTTTTGACACAGCAGGTAACTGGTTTCACCATGCATTCCTTTCAGATAAAATTCTCCTTTCCATGGACTGGTTTACAGATGCTGTGCACAAGACACTCTGTGTCCTTTGCTTTACCTTTTCACTTATAGAGCCTAATTTTAATGCATTTAAATGTCTCCACTTCACAGTGAACATGGGACATGCATAACATGCATGTTTGCTTACAACATATGTTCGCGATCCTCTATTCATGAATATTCATAGCTCCTCCTGTAACCTGATGAATATTATATTACATTCAACCCATTTAGCATAACACTCCTGTCCCACCCTTGCTCTGGCAGAGTGCCTGCTTTTAGTCTGCACAGGAGGCTCCACTTCCCAGCCTGCAAGTTGCAACTTTTTTTAAGAAATAAAACTCTACTTTGCAAATTTATGGACGTTGTAATTTTTAAGTCTACAGCAAGGATGTTATACGTTTACTGGCATTACTGGCAGATATAGCCTACAGTAAGCCTCCAAACCTGGCATTCAGCTCCAGAGAAAGCGTTCATGTTAAAGCTGACAAAAACTGACCACCTCGTGAGCTCTCAGGCCCTGAGCTCTCCTTCGCATCTTGTCTTCTCCTTCCTAGGCTTGTGCCTTCAAAGCACCAGGTCTGCTTGGTCCTGGGGCCAGGCTAACGCTCTCCCTGGGATAGATACAGGGTCCAGAGAAATATCTGGTGCTTGTTTTCCAACCATCGCCACCCCAACCTGGGGGGAAGGCAGAGCTAATATTATACAGGTGAAAGTTGCTTGAGGAGATGAGTGAGGCCTGTCTTACGAAAGTAACTGGCAAGGAGCTTTACAGACGGCAACATGAAGCCAGATAGGATTTGCACCCGGCGGGTGAGGAAAACATTGCCCTGCCCGTGAATGTACATTTTCACTTGGGTTCTGTCCTACCCCACCCCTCGCCCCCATGAGTTTACACTTCTCCCACACGGGGCTTGGACAGCCTCAGCAGGTCAAGCGGCTGAGGGTCCTGGAACATCTTGTGCCCAATGGCCTGACCTCAGCAGGCCTCCAAATGGAAGCCAAGTGCTGACCCTCAAGGGTCTACAAAAGTTCCTTTATCAAACTCTACCCAGGATAGTGAGGGGATGTTTAGAAGACGGACAGGAATGAGCTTTTCCCTTGGCCAGGCCTTCCCCTTGCTTATTACTTATTACTTATTATTATTAATAATATAGGATCTTGCTCTGTTATCCAGGCTAGAGTACAATGGCTCTGTTATAACTCTCTGCAGCCTCAACCTCCTGGGTTCTATGAATCCTTCTGCCTCGGCCTCCCAAGTAGCAGGGACTACAGGCGCCACTACACCCGGCTAATTTTTATTTTTTTTGTAGAGACCGGGTCTGCTATGTTGCTCAGGGTGCTCTGGAGCTCCTGGGCTTAAGCGACCTTCCCTCCTTCGCCTCCCAACGCTCTGGGATTACACGTGTTAACCACCGCGCCAGCCCTGCCCTTAGCTTATAAGGGAAAGGGAGAAGCTGCTCCTCTTCTCGCCTCTCTTCTGTTACAAAAAGCAACCTGCTGCCTCCTCTGCCTCCCTTCTCCACTCCCCAGTGTAAGAGTGAGCTGCAGATAAGCGTTATGTTTACCAGGTCGTCTCACACTTAATGTGCACAGGAATCGCCTGGGTGTCCGGTTAAAATGCAGATTCCGGTTGGGTGGGAGCCCTGGCGGGGGAGGAGGGGGTCCAAAACTGCATTTCCAACCAGCGGCGAAGGATGCAAAGGCCGCTTGTCCACACTCCACCCAGGAATCCGTAGGAGGCCCCGCCCCGCCTCCCGGTGGCCTGGTGCTGGGCCGCCCTCCCCCTCTTCCTTCCTCCCCAGCCTCCTAGCCCCTCCTCCTTCCTCCCCAACCTCCTACCCCCTCCTTCTTCCTCCTTACCCCTCCTCCCTCCTCCTCCTCCCTCCTTTCTGCCCACCTCCCTCCCCTTCTCCTTCCCCTGTCTTCCCCATCCCCACCGCAGCCTCGCCGCACCCTCGGAGTCCAGCTTCTTCACGTTAAACTCAGACTCCAGAGCGGCTGGGGCGTGGCTCTCGGGGCCAGGCCTCGATGAGGAGGGGCACCGTCCAGAATGACTGCGGATGCCCCCTTCCCAGCCCCATGTTGGAGTCTGGGGTCCCAGAACGGGCCGGCTCTGGAGGAGACACCTCTAGGCTCCCCGAGTAGGGCAGGCGGCAGAAGTTCCCTAAGAGGACACCCCCACACCACGATGCCCACCTCCCGACCCCCGCGCTGCCCACTCAGTCCTCTGGCCACTGGGTTTCTGGCCGCAGATCTCGCTGCCGCCTCCTCCTCCGGGCGCGGCCACCTGGAGAAAGATCCAGCAAAACCCTGATTCCCGGCGCCTCCTCCCTCCCCCGCCCCTGTCCATCTCCAATGGCGGAGCTTTCTGCAAAGCCGCGTGGCTCTACCAGCTCTAAAGTATTTCAAAAGTCTTGGAACTTGTTCGTTTGCGGGATGGGGGTCTCAATAGTTAAGGAATTGGAAGCTGCAGCATTTTGCACCTTAGGGGGAGGGGCGGGATCTCTTACTGCAGGGGCTGTGGAGGCTGCACCCCGCACAGGTTTTGCCCCCGGGGGGCATCCTGGGGTCGTGCCCACCCACTAAGGAGACTGGAGCGGCTTTTTTTTTTTTTTTTTTTTTTTTAAAGACAGAGTCTCGCTCTGTCGCCCAGGCTGGAGTGCAGTAACGCAATCTCGGCTCACTGCAAGCTCCGCCTCCCAGGTTCACGCCATTCTCCCGCCTCAGCCTCCCTAGTAGCTGGGACTACAGGCGCCCGCCACCATGCCCGGCTAATTTTTTGTATTTTTAGTAGAGACGGGGTTTCACTGTGTTAGCCAGGATGGTCTCGATCTCCTGACCTCATGATCCGCCCGCCTCGGCCTCCCAAAGTGCTGGGATTACAGGCGTGAGGCACCGCACCCGGCGGAGAAGCTTCTTAAGCTCCTGTCTCAGCCCTGGTCGTCCCTCCCCAGCCCAGAGCTCCTCCTCCCCCGACCACATGTGCATCCAGTCTGCCGGCGGAAAGAAACAAAGAGAGCAGGTGTGACCAGCGGCGATGCGAGCGTGGGTGGCGCCCGGGCAGAGCTGCAGGTGCAGGAACCCAAGGGGGCGGCTCCGGGCAACAGCGGTGATCGCGACAGTGAAACCAGAAAAAGTGGTATCTGGCCATTTTGATTTTTCAAAGCCTTTTATCTCAGCTCATTAGATTCTCACGGGTTTAGGGAGGCGTGTTTAGGTTACTTTAAAAAATATATATTCGAATGATCCGTATGTTCAGTGTAAACCTAAATACGCTCGGATGCGCTCCGCCCTGTCCAGGAGCACAACCCAGCCCCTCCAGAGAGACCCCCAGAGCTGGTAGTCACGAGGCTCAGGGAAGATAGAAATAGGGGCTGGGCCGGACGCAGTGGCTTACGCCTGTAATCCCAGCACTTTGGGAGGCCGAGGCGAGTGGATTACCTGAGGTCAGGAGTTCGAAACCAGCCTGACCAACATGGTGAAACCCCGGCTCTACTAAGGTGGCGGGCGCCTGTAATCCCAGCTACTTGGGAGGCTGAGGCAGGAGAATCGCTTGAACCCGGGAGGCAGAGGTTGCGGGGAGCTGAGATGGAGCCATTGGACTCCAGCCTGGGCAACAAAGCAAGACTCCGTCTCGAAAAGAAAAAAGAGAAGAAAAGAAAAGGAAAAAAGGAAAGGAAAGGAAAAGAAGAAAAGAAAAGAAAAAAGGAAAGGAAAAAGAAAGAAATAGGGGCTGAGGTCCTACGACCCTTCCTAGTTCTCCACACCGATTTGGGGGAGGTGGGGAGCAGTAGGCAGAGGAGGGTAGCCTGCCCTTACAGGTCTGCCCTGGGAAGGCAGGAAAGCCACAGACAGGCTTTCATCACCTCGGGAAACCTGCTGCCACTGGGTGAAAGAAAGTTTTTTGGGTGTTGTTGTTGAGATGGAGTCTCACTCTGTCACCCAGGGTGGAGTGCAATGGTGCGATCTCGGCTCACTGCAAGCTCCGCCTCCCAGGTTCAAGCGATTCTCCTGCCTCAGCCTCCCGAGTACCGCCACCATGCCTGGCTTTTTTTTGTATTTTTAGTAGAGACGGGGTTTCGCTATGTTGGCCAGACTGGTCTCCAACTCCTGACCTCAGGTGATCCGCCCCATCAGACTCCCAAAGTTCTGGGATTACAGGCTTGAGCCGCCGCGCCCGGCCTGAAAGGAAGTATTTTTCTACTCATTTTGCTTAAATTATGCATAAACTTGAGCACAGTGTTGTTTCCTAAGCCGGCTGGAGAGAGCCGCTGGGCTCTAAAAGCACCTGGGCTTCTACTCCCTGAACAATAAGATGACTGTCTGGCCCCTCTTATACAAAAACAAGCTAAGGGCATGGTGTCTAAACAACACACACTCACCGGTGCACACACCCCAACACATCAGGTTGCTTGCTTTGGCTGAGGAGGGACCGCTTGTTTCAGGGCTGTGTGCCACCCCAGGAAAATTGCACCCGTGCTGTAAATGCTGAAAACAACTTCCACTCACTCCTATCTGCAGGCTTCAGCTGACTTCTCAGAAGTCACACTTGTCTTTTCCAGTTTTCACTGCTCAGGTGGGAGTAGGAGGACCTGAGGGCAGGTGTCAGTGTTCAGAGGGGAAATCGAGAACAAGCTGTGTCCCAGGTGCTCCTATTAAGTCACAGTGGCCCTTTGGGGATTTGGTTCACACTCAGAAGTCACTTCCACAGACACACTCAAGGGGAAGCCACTCTCTGGTTAAGTGTCCCATAACCAGAGTCCTGGGTTCACACTGGGATCCTGCTGACCATAGGGGCCAATTGACAAACCCATTGGGGAAGGTGCTGCATTTTACTTTCACCCTTGGGGCAGTAGAGGTGGCTCACACCTATAATCCCAGCACTATAGGAGGCCAAGGGAGGAGGATCACATGAGCCCAGGCGTTCCAGACCAGCTTGGGTAATATACGGAGGCCCCTGTCCCTACAAAAATACAAAAATTAGCCAGGCATGGTGGTGTGGGCTGAGGTCAAAGGATTGCTTGATGTCAGGAGGTTGAGGCTGCAGTGAACCACGATCACGCCACTGCACTCCAGCCTGGGTGACAGAGCCAGACCCTGTCTCAAAAAAAAAAAAAAAAAAAAAAAAAATCCTTAGTTTCACATGTCTGACACCAATTTTTCTGCCTTAAACTCTGAATGATTTGCGGCTTCCAGGTGAGATTCTCGCTCACACATATTCTCCTTTGTGTGCATCTAGGATGGGGAGGAGGAGAAAGAAAGAAAGCTAGCCTCTCTCTGTCTCTGTGTGTGTGTGTGTGTGTTAAAAAGATTGAGTTTTCCAGTGAATAAATGATTCAAAACAAACTAACAAATCAGAACAAGCAGATCATTCCTGCCTCACAGCTAGAGCTGATTAGGTAAAACATAGATAGAGTTTTAAATATAGGGTTTCTGTCTTTGCTGGTGGGGTAGATACACAGCAAAAGGGAGCATTAATTTTGCTACATCAAAGCATCCCGCTAGTTGCTATTTGTCTTTTTTCTAATGATCATGTCAGGAAACAGCCTATATTCCACATGAACATATAAGGATGTGGGATGGTTATAAATTGAAAAGACATTTACCTAAGAGTAAAAGGATTAGTGACCACCATTACACAAATGAAAGTGTCTTTAATAGCTATAAGAAGCCTGAACCTCATCTGCAGAATCTCATGTTTTTTGTTTTATCATTTTATATTAAGACTACTTGTAATTAACATAAATTATTGTTTATTAAAAATCTCCCATTTGAAATCATGTGCAAAAGTAAAGTATTTTTAAAAATTAGTTGTTTAAGCTTCCTGAGTAGCTAAGACTACAGACATGTGCCACCATGCCCAACTAATTGTTTTTTTAAAAAAAATATTTTTTGTAGACAGGGTCTCACTATGTTGCCCAGGCTGGTCTCAAATTTTTGGCTTCAAGCAACCTTCTTACCTCAGTCTCCCAAAGTGCTGGAGTTACAGGCATGAGCCATCATGCCAGGCCCTAAAAATAAATTTAAGATGTCAACTGGGATGCATTTGATCTCCCAACAAAACAATAAACAGTTTTATTTTTCTGTCACAATTTACCTTGTCACATATTAGCTGCCACCATACTTATTCCAATTAGCTAGAGTAATATACATTTCATTTAAAATGAATGAATGCAGGAAGTAAAGCTCTTAAAATATAGCTATCACCTTTTATAGAATAGAAATATGGGATTACACATCAGGTGCTATTAGAATGTACATGATATCTCGTGAATACACAAACCCACTGAGGGAATTATTAAAGAAACACTTCACTAGAAGGGTAAACATGAAGACATACATTGAATATTTATTGCCATGCTATCTAGAATTTTTATGAACATGTTTTTAAACTTAAATTGGGACACACATAACAGATAAGAATGAGTATACTGGTGAAATTAGAGCAGAAGAATATTTAAAACTGGAATTATTTCAGAATCTGTGAAATGCATGCCTGTTTTTCATAAAAGAAATATCCACATGCCTAGCTATCTGTGGTAGCCTCTAATGATCTCCCCTTCTTGCTATTTGCCCTTGATATATGCCCTTGTGTAGATCTCTCCCACACTGAATCAGGCAGACTAGTCTCTGTGACCAACAGTACACAGTGTTAGTGATGGTGTGTGACTTTCAAGCCTTGGTCATAGGAGACATTGCAACTTCTGCCTTGGTTTCTTGGAAGCCTTGCTCTGGGGAGGTCCAGCTACCATATTGTAAGGATACTCAAGCAGCTCCTTGGAGAGGCCCACATGGAGAAGAAATTGACAGCCAAGTTGATAAGTCTCTGTGAAAGGCATCCTACATCCCTAATCAAGGCCTTCAGTTAATAGTACCCTCAGTCAGTCATCTTCTGACTGCAAGTCCATCAGCAGCCAAGAGCCAGAAAATCCCAACGGGGCCACTCCAAAATTACTGACCTGCAGAAACTAAGAAAGAATGAGTAATTGAGGTGTTCAAAGCCACTTAGCTTTGGAATGATTTGTTATGCAGCAACAAATAACTAATACATACTACATATTAACATGTTGAAATATTATGTTATCAAAAGATACTGTTTACAACTTTCCTTCTTCATTCATTTATTCTGTCAGTGAGAAATACCTTAAGAATTTCTTGAATCATACCATGTAGTGCCATGTCTAATGCCACTGCCTATTCTTATCTGGACTAAAAGTCTCTTAGTCTCTTACTTTGATTCTTGTTTTTCTAGAGTCTATTCTCCACACAAGAGTCAGAGTGGTCTTTATAAAGCGTAAAAGATAATATCACCCCTCCCCTGAGTAACCTCTTCAAAAGTTTCTAATTGCACAAGGAATAAAATCTAAATTCTTTGGCCTACAAGCCCATGCATAACCAGGCCTTTGCCTGCCTTTCTCAGCCCTATCTTCTACTCTCATTAATAATCTCATTTGTGTTTCATTCATACGACTGAGCAATGAGTTTAATGCAAGTTTCTGGGTTCAAAGAAGCCAAGGTTGCTGTACTTACAGTTCCTGCCACCTGGAGCACTCATACCCTATACCCTTACATGCCTGGCTCTGATCAAAGATTATCTACTTGTTACCTGTTTACTTGTTCACGGTCTGTTTACACACACACACACATGCACACGCAAATACACACCATTATTAAGTCCCCAAAAGCAGGAATATTTTCTGCTTTATTCCTTGTACCTTGAACAGCATCTGGCATTTAGCGAATGATTAATTTTGTGGAATGAATGGATGATCAGCGTCAAAATATACATAAATAGGAGCAAGAACTAAAACAGAACATATAAATGAAAATAACTGGGTTTAAATGGAGGAAATGTGTTTTCTTTTCAAATTTGTTTTTAATACCATTGTTATATTATTTTTTAAATCCTCATACGCAAATAATTACCTATGTTGAAGTAGAATTAAAAGATTGGTTTAAAAAACTATAGTTACTTTCTGGGGCTGCTAAGGGTTTTTTTTTTCTTCTCACGTTGCCTTATCTTTTGACACTCTAGTTCTTATTTAAGACTCTTCACTGGGAATTTTCTAGAAGACCTTAAACTAGAAATGGTCCTCACTGCCTAGCTTGTATAACTCACTGCACTTCACTCTGCTGGACATTTTCCTAAGAAATAAATATTCTGAATTCTCCACCGGGAGCCCCTTGCAAATGAATCACGGCTGAACAAGTTCTGACATCTCACTCTGTCCCCAAAAGAGAAAGAAGAAATTCTCTATGCTGTTCATGTTTATGGAAACTTCTCACAAGTATTAAAGCTTTGCCATTCCAGAAACATATGCCCACTCAACCCAACATGCTTTGTCGGGTGTTGTGAAGGGAAACAAGGACATTTATTTATTTATTCAGTCAATCTTTATTCCTCTCCCCTCCCAAAATGATTTGAAATTGCTTGCAGTAAGAAGACTTGCAAGAAGAAGGAAGAGGAAAAGGAAGAAGAAGACAAAAAAAAAAAAAAAAAAAGAAGGGCAAACAGTGAAGGGAGGAAAAGAAGGAGAAGAAAAACTTGAGGACTACTAAAATGTCAACAGAACTAGAAAATAGTATCCAGATAGAAGAATAACATCATGAGAACCAGCATCTTGAATGCTGGTGATCCTTGAAGGTAAATGTCAAACTCATCTCTGCTTATAAGACTTGACTCCTGCCTTCTGAAAGCTTCTATTAGCAGAGGAACTAAGATATGGACATAAGTCATCAAAGGGGTGAAAGAAAACCTTGATCCTAACTGCAGTGGAACACTGTGAGTGTATATGTGGCTCTTGAACGGTACACGACTGCCTTGTAAGGATTCTGACTATTGTGTGAACTCCCCAACCACTGTCACAAAACATGCCTGTGGAAACATACTCTGATGCCACAAGTGTACCTTATAAGCTGGACCACAAAGGAGATGCAGTGAGGTGGGTGAGTCTGAGTCTCAGCCCTGCCACCAACCAGCTACATGACCTTCGTCGACTCACTTAACCTTAGTTTCTTATCTGTAAAATGGGGATTATAGGCTGCTCGCAGTGGCTCACACCCGTAATCCCAGCAGTTCAGGAGGCCAAGGTAGGCAGATCACCTGAACCCAGGAGTTCAAGACCAACCTGGGCAATGTAGTGAGGCCCTGTCACTATTTTTAAAAAATACAAATAACTTTTAAAATAATAATAACATAGGGAATGATAATCATAGTGGACTCAGAATGTTGTTGCATGTAAGGAAATGAGTTAATGCAGAAAATGTACTTAGAACAGCATCATGGGACATAGTAACCCCCTCCAACAGCACTGGAATCTCCATATGGGTAAAAAAGTGACGAATTTAATTGCTTACCAATTTGAGCAGTTAAATTGCTAGCAATGAAACTTCACACTAAGTTTAGCAATTCCCTTTAGGGGGTGGATTTTTAGTGAGGACATGAGTATCATATGTGTGTTTTCCATTCAGCCATTTAGCCTGGACTTCTAAAATAAAGCAGTAAGGGTATTTCAGGAGATTTTGAATTATGAATCTAGAATGGATCTGAAATGTCCACCACTGAACCCTTGTGTAGATAAGCAAATTGAGGTTGGGCAGGAATGGCCAATGTTCCATAATAGTGCAAAGCTAGGACCCAGGATGGACTCTTGATTCTTGGTTCTTTGCTCTTTCTACAAGAAGGTATGGACTAGACTGGGACTTATTATTGAACACTCTTGACTTGCCAGTCATCTTGAAGGCATTTTAATCGATGGGGAAAGTCACTCATTAAATAAATATCCACTGTGCTTCTACTATGGCAGGAACTATGCTGGATACTGGGGCTAAATTAATGAGCAACAGAGATCTGATTCTAATACTTGTAAAGATCCCACTGTAATGGGGGAGGCAGACATTCATCAACTGATCACACAAATAGATGCTAATGGCAAGAATCAAAAAGCCTACAAAGTCTTATGTACATATTTCAAAGAATTTGACCCACTAGAAGAGGTCAAGGGAGGCTTCCTTTAGAGAATGACATTTAAGCCTAAATCTGAAGGGTCAGTAGGAACCGGCTGGGCAAGGCTGAGGGAAGGAGAGAAAAGATGAGTGCTCCAGAAAAAGGAATCACCAAAAATCCTGTGACAGATGGGAGAACAGAATACCAGGGTGACTGGAGTGCTGGAAGTGGAGGGAAAGGGCTGTACAATGGGATGAGGTTAGAGAACTAGGCAGGAGTCAGCACTAGGCAGGCCTTGAAGATCACATTTGAGATTTTGGTTTTCATATTAAAAGTGGGAAACTATTAGAGGGTTCTATTCAGGGAGATGCCAAGATCAAAATTTTCTTTTTAAAAGATTAGCCTGCTGTAGGGTGCTAATTGAAGGAGACCAAGAGTAGGCCCTGGGAGAAGGGTTAGAGTGGTGGCAGTATAAATTGAAAGATGTGGAAGGATTTAAGACATTGAAAGATGTGGAAGGATCTAAGACATGGAGGTGTTCTCACTATAACTCTGTGATAGGTTAGTGTAGAGGGGCAGAGGAGAGGTAATGGGAGGTAGGATGTCATTTAAGGAGTCCATTTAATGGAATCAGATGATTATAGAGAGGGGATCATTCATTAGGAGAGGGAATACTGAAAGAGAACTGCAGGTTAAAAGGGGCACTGACCACAGTACCAAATTTGGGGAAATGTTAAAAAAGACTTTAAGCTCAATTTAGGTTTTTTACTATTTTATTATGGCACACAGGATAGAGGATGGTACAGTTTTCTTACTTCAACCAAGTAATTCTCAAAGCATCCAGCTATTTCCATTTGGCTAAAGTTACTTTTTGCACATAGCTTGCATCTGTTTGAGACTTACCATGTACATCAACCCAGGTCTAGTAAGCAGAAATGTGAAAAGTTTTGTTTCTGAGGAGACGCCTCATCTTTACAGAAGCCAATACACTGAGAGCCTTCATAGTTCCAATCCATTACCATCATGGCAAGGAAGCACTTTACCTATTTGCATAGCAACATATATTTAACTAGAAATAGGTGGTACAAAGGGATTAAGTAACTTTAAATGGAGACCACTTTGGTTTCAGGTTAAATTAATAACTTATAGAGATCGTCTAAAAAACAAATATTGAATGAAATTAGCTGACAAAGCAATTGTTTCAGAACAAAGGCAGAATAGCAGATAGTAATATCATCTATATTTATTCCACATCAAATGCAAGAGCGTTCTTAACTTTACGACAGAAAGGATACATGGGGCGTGTATTTGATGCAATGTCCAACCAGTCAAGCTATCATTGAAATCCAAATATCTCCCAGTAGAGACATGCAGAGCAATGTCAATGTAACATACAAGCATATTACCTCCCCCCTTAAGTGACTCATAATTTCATTACTTGTGTCTGTAGCTTTTAAAGGTTTAAAAATGTGTAGCATTAAGTGGTATTTACTTGAGGCAACAGAATTACGCTTAACAACACACTAAATCATGAGCTCAGGATTGCAGGCAACATGTTTGCAGTGGAGTGGCAAATAACCTTTGGTAGTTTTAATCCCTTCTCCTGAAATTATATATAGATAAAAAATTATTCCTTCTTATTGTACCATGTTCTCAGGTTTTAACCTCCTCCCATGATATTTAGACTATATTTTAAAATGCAGTTATAGGGATGAATGTATGGGATTCATATTCTATCCATATTGCATTGTGACATATCAGTTTGAAATGACCTATTTATCATGGTTCCATAGTGTAATGGTTAGCACTCTAGACTCTGAAATGACCTGTTTACCATAAAGAGTGTATCTGTCAAGTAATTTCAGAATTGCTCCCTAGAAAGCCATCCCAAAACCTAACACAACACGTGTTATGAGGCAAAGTCTATTGTTATTTATAGACTTTCTCATTTACTCATGTTTATTATCAGTAAAATTTTTGTGGGGAGAGATTTCACAAGTAATCATGACATAACTGTATCCCTCAGAATTTCCAATTGAAGGAAGAAAAAAAAGTATTGGTAATTGTTAAAATTTCAACTTTTTAAAAAATTGGAGGTCAATAGTCCACTGGTATATACTTTATATTGGTGCCATCTTTAAGGTATTTTAATTAAGTAACAACCACAGCAAAAAATACATCATTCGGTATAACTTTATTTACTATTTATTGCACATAACTCAGGGTCTTTAATTGCTAACCACCGAAGGTTCAAAGGACTATTTTTCCATGAAGTTTAACATTAACATTAGTGAATTCATTTACTCATGTGGTGTTTTTTATTGTAAACATCTGAATGATTCACATTGCCGTAGATCCTGAACTCATAAGCGTGGTCCATGCACAGGCTGGCAGCAAGCCAGAAAGCCACTCTGCAAGCAAACAGATACTCTGCATAAAGAGGAAATTCATAGCACAACATTGAATGTCCAACCTAAGTCATCTCAGAATTATACATATATTGACTTTTTAATTCACATAGAATCTGGAACTCAACTGGTTGGTTGGTTGGTGATGGGGTTGACCTGATTTCGGGAGAATTATTCCTGAAATAATTAAGGAAATGGGGGTTCAATCTTTCTTCTTAGCTGCTTGTTCCTCCCCAGCACCTTCAACTTTCTTCTCCTCCTCTTCAGCTTCTTTGGTTTCCTCTCCTTCTTCACCTTCACCTCCTTCTTCTTCTTCTTTTGCTTCTTCAGACTCTTCCTTGGCAGCTTTAACATAAAAAGAAAATGTACAAAATGCAAATCCAGGGTAAGTCCAGTCAAAACATGTCTGCAAAGGTTTTATTTGCAAACACAACTGTCAGAATGCTACCAAAACCTCCCAGCTCCACTCTCTCCAAAAGCACATGTAACAGACAAAGCTTGCCATGAATAATTTGCCACTGAACACATATTTAAATCGAATGAGATCACTTCTAGGTATGGGAAGCTCTGCTCCTCTCCAAGACTTAACCTCAATATTTCTTTCATTATGTGTCTGGTATCTATTTTTGTTCTTTAGGACACCAACCTGCTGTGTTAAATGATTATATTAAAAAATGAAAATTTTGACCAATCACCTCATTCAGAGTAGATGCCTTAGGAAAGTTTTGCTAAACAAACAGAAAATTTATTTATGATTCTAATGTCATATATGAATAAATGAGCAAGGCTTCATTTGTCTTATCCACCTCCTAACAAATCTCCACACCCAGTTTACACTTGAAGTTGCAGGGGTTTTTTCTTATCATACCTTCTTCCTCTTCAGCTGCCTCCTCTTCCTCGGCCTCTTCCTTGTCCTTCTCCTCCTCCTCGGCTTCTCCTTCAGAGGGGGGCTCATCCTTGGCTTCCTCAGCCTTGGCAGCCTCAATGGTTTCCTCCACTTCGATCTGCTCCTCTTGGACATGGCTGGTGTAGTAGGACGGGAAGGAGCGGGTGGACATCAGATAGGAGCTGGTCTGTAAACCGCCGTAGGCAGATCGGCCAAAGACCTGGGAGCTCTGGGAGTAGCCACTGGTTATGCTTCCCACGCTGGTGAAACTGAGTCGGGTCTCCTCGCCTTCCAAGAGTTTCCTGGGGATGCAGATGCAAGGTGAGGTTAAAAAACACCTGTGTTTCACAACTTGCTCTGAGTACCCTAAACACAAAGGCAAGCAGGAGCAGGGCTGGGATTTATCAATACTTAATGCCTGGGGATCTTTTGATGGAGACCAGAAAAAATATAAATAAATCATCCTATTAGATTTAAAGTGTAATGACAAGATAAAAACAGGACTCCTAATTACAGGGTTAAATTCTTATATATCTAAATACCCTCTTCTTGGAAGAAGCCAAAAACTAACACTTCATTATTTCAAAAGGACTATTATTGAAGGTTTCTGATCCAACATAACTTTAAATGGGATCTGATTTTCTTCCTAAGGTTTAATGGCTGCTGTCTTTGCCCCTCTATTTTCACCTGTAAGCTGCAATCTCAATATCCAAAGCCATCTTCACGTTGAGGAGGTCTTGGTATTCTTTTAGGTATCGTGCCATTTCACTCTTTGTGGTCCTCAATTCATTTTCTAATTTGTTGATCGTGTCCTGTTTGAAGACAAAAATAAAACAAAAAAAAAATCCGAGCATAAATCCCTTCTATTATTTTACTGTAGTGTAGTTGCAAAGGCCTAGTTTCGATTAAAATCAAGGTGCACACCTTTGATAAAATCTCTCCTAGAATAACTTCCTGTATCTTTTGAAAAACCTTCATGCCTAAAATACCCAAGTTCATGAAGCCTGAGATGAAAAAAAAGATGGACGAAAATTCTGTTCTTCTGTTTCTTTACTTAATACTGTTTAATGATCATCATAAAATGCATGCAAACAGACTAAGTTGATAGAAAAACTGTGTCTCTCATTCACTGATTAACTCTTCTTTAGCTGGGTTACATGCCAGGAAACTAATGCCTTTCTTTATGAGAAGAAAATAGCCAGATGTAAACAAAAAAAAGAAAAAAATTATTTTCTATGAAATATTTCCTATGTATCTAAATTATTTTTTCTACTCCCCAGAAGAAGAAAAAAATTTCTACTCCCCAGAAGATGGAGATGTTTTAAAATGGAGATCTTTTTAAAATTGTATTTTTTCTACTCCCCAGAAGATGGAGATGTTTAAACAGAAATGTTGTAGAAGATTTTACACATAAAGAAAAAAAGAAAAAAAAAAGGTAAAAGGAAATGGTTTACTATGAACATCACTAGTTAACTACCTAAAACAATGTTGACTATTTTCCTGTCTACCTACTAAATAAAGGAAGGGAGTGGTTGGTAAAACTAGTCATAAAGCATGCTGGTCACAGTAATCCTTCAGAATTAATTGAGAGTTGTTCACTCTACTATTTATTAACTAGATGATCCGATAGTTGCTGCAAAGTAACTTGTGGTTAATGCAGGTCAGTAGAGAGCTGATCTCACTGCAGGCCGGAGGCAACGCCCAATTCCCACGTCTTCCCCTCCCCCACCCAACAAGGGCTGGGCAGCTTTAATGCGGAACGCCGGTGCAGCAGCACGGAGCACACTCCCAGACTACAGTGGCGCCCGCACTCACGCCCTTCAAGTGCCCCACCCCTCCCACACAGTGGCCAAGGAGCCAAGCCCTATCCCTAAGAGCTGCGTGCAGCCGCACCACCCCTGGTCTCCACTTTCTGGGCGCACCAACTCCCCCCCTTGCTCGAGTCCCCCGCCCCCCTGTGTTTCTGGCCGTGCCGCACCTGCATAGCGCTGATGTCGGCGTTCTGCTTGTCCTCCAGCTCCTGCAGCTGCTTCTCCAGCGCTTCATTCATGCCCCGGCATGCTTCGATTTCCAGGGTCTTGGCCTTGAGCAGACGACGGCTCTCGGACACCTCGTCCTTGGCGGCGCGCACGGCGTCGGTGTTCTTGGCGGCGCTCTCGGTCAGCACGGTGAAGCGGCTCTTGAACCATTCCTCAGCGTTCTGCATGTTCTTGGCGGCCAGCTTCTCGTACTGCGCGCGGATGTCCTTGAGCGCGGCGGAAAGGTCGGGCTTGGTCACGTCCATCTCCACGGAGATCTGCGCGTACTGGATCTGCGCCTGCAGTTCGGCGATCTCCTCTTCGTGCACTTTCTTCAGAAAAGAGATTTCGTCCATCAAGCTGTCGATGCGCTTCTCGAGCTCGGCGCGAGCGAGCGCCGCCTCGTCGGCGCCTTTGCGCGCTTCCATCAGCCGGCCCTCGGCGTCCTCGCGGCTCAGCACCTCCTCTTCATAGCGCGCCTGCAGGTTGCGCAGGGTCTCCTCCAGCCCTTCGCGCTCGCCCTGGAGCGCCTGCTTCTCGTTGGTGGCATCTTCCGCCGCCAGGCGCAGGTCGCGGATCTCCTGCTCGTACAGCGCCCGGAAGCGGGATGGCTCGGAGTGCTTCTGGCGCAGCACCAGCAGCTCGGCTTCCAGGACCTTGTTCTGCTGCTCCAGCTCGTGCACGCGCTCGATGAAGCTGGCGAAGCGGTCATTGAGGTCCTGGAGCTGCGCCTTCTCCTGCGTGCGGATGGACTTGAGGTCGTTGCTGATGGCGGCTACCTGGCTCAGGTCGAGGTTCTCCAGACTGGGCATCAACGATCCAGAGCTGGAGGAGTAGCTGCGGCGCACGGACAGCGAGGAAGACACCGGCGCCGAGTAGCTGGAGTAAGCTGAGCGTGCGGTGCTGTAGCCGCTGCGCACGCTGGAGATGTGCACCCGGGGCGTCTCCACGTAGCGCCGCTTGTAGGAGGTCGAGTAGTACGGCTCGTAGCTGAAGGAACTCATGGTGGCGGCCGGTGGCTCCCCGGCCCGCGGCGGCGGTGGGAGCCCGGAGAGAGAGGACAGGGGAGAGAGGGAAGGGGGAGGATGGATGGCTGTGTGCGGCTCGGCGCCGTTCTGCCACCCCTATTTATACGCCGGGAGGCTCCTGACGCAGCCTGCGATCGATCACGGCACGCCGGCCAGTGGGGGCAGCGCGCTGCTGCAGCCAAGGCGAGGATTCTGCGCAAAAGGGAAGGCGGGGTCGAGCTACGGCCCGAGGAGCTGCGGCGGTCGTCCTTTCCACTTTGCTCAGAGGGCCCTGATTTTCTCTGAGATCCCATGCCCCCTCACTCATTTCCCTTCTGTACTCACTCACGCAGCCCCTCCCGTCCTGCATTGCCCAGACCCCGTGACACTTGGATCCTTAAGTTGCCCCCAAAACAGGTTCTTGCTCCCTTTTGACACCCTAGTTTTCTGTATCCCGTCACCTCGCAGACACCCTGTCCCCCCAACTCGCCCTTTTCCCACCAGGAACCTCCTTAATTTTTTCCCTTGGTGTTTACGGTGATGGTGCGGCTAGGGAATTTTAGATACAAATAAATAGGCTAGGTTATGTGTATGCAGTATGTATGGAGAAGAGTTTTAATTTCTTTCTAGCTTTCTGGCACTTTCTGCAATTCATCTTCCTTTCTCCTGATTATTTTTCTTTTTCTTTAATGAGCTGCTTAACACATAGGGAATGTGCGCGCGAGTGCGCGCGCGCGCGCGCACACACACACACACACACACACACACTCGTGAAACTGCGGCACTACTGCAGGTATTGGTTTAGCATTTTTAAACCTTTACAGCAGTTAATCCGCCTGTTAGTGTTTCTAGATTTTCACATTTCTTAACTGAGAATGAAGCCGCAGATGGCTTTAACGTGTTGCAGTGTGTGGGTGGTGGAGGGCAGAGAAAGAGTTGGAAACACAGAGACTGACTTGCTGAGGCAGCCGCGCGCTCCGCAGCCGGGAGCTTCAAGCTGCCTGGATCCTCACCAAGCTAAATTCCTGCTTGCTACCACCAACCGCAGCACATTTAAAGTCCGCTTTCCTCTTTTTACACATGTGTAGCACACGACCTGATGATTTCGATAAGCCTTGCAGTTGGCTGATTTTCAGGGAAGCCGCTGCGGCCAGCCCTGAGCGCTGGGTGTGGTCTCTGGGGAGGAGAACTCGGCACCCAGGCTTCTTCAGGAACGGATAGAAAATAGCCATAGCCGCGTGACTCTTCCCCCGATACAATGTAATAACCCGAAAACAGATGCAGTCAGGAATGCATGGATTTCCTTCAGGAAGCACCCAGATGCTTGAAACTGGCGCACGCGGTAGCGCACGTGGATACAACCCTACGGTTTGCAGGGCATTTTCACACGCATGATGTTAGGAGTCCCCCAGGTTTCATGGAGGGATTGCAGAGATTTACACGAAACACCTAAGATTTATCTGAGCAAGCATTTAGTTTTTGTTTTATTTGTATATCGCAGCATTTGATGTGCAACTTATGTTTTTTTTAAGAGGCAAACTGAGGGGGAATATGGTAACTGTTTTCAAATAGAGAAGCCGGAATGGCTTCCCCTGTGATACTTGGAGGGTGAAGTATTTGCAGTGGTGCAGTTGCTTCTGGAGACATTTCACTCCTCTCCCGAGGAAAGGATGGGGTGAGGCTTATCCTCAGAGGCCCTTTCTCATCCCCCCCCCCAAAAAAAATACCTGTGATTGTGATAGCCCACCGTCCTCATGATAGACTGCAGCAGATAACTTTCCTCGGGTTTCTAAACAATGTCTGTTGTCGCAAATAATGCAAATTCACAAATATTGAAATTAGTAGTTTAAATCTATCAAGACTAAGTGATCTCAGAGGACCATCCATGCCCAAATATTCTAGATTTCAAGCCTAAGGTCATGAGGCTGTCCTGAATATTGTTTGTCCCTGGCAGGTTTGGTAGGGTACTTACTCTGTTGACTTTTCATAGCCTAGCTATCCTTGGTCTTTTCACTCATGAAATTCAAGGGTGGAATAGGCTTCTCTGGAGGCGGAGGGTGGAACAAGGACCCAGATAAGCCATAGAGTTGTCTCCTCCCAATTACCCATATGTAGATGAAGCATGGCAGAATGGATTATTTTGTTAACCTGCTCCCTGCAAACCTCATTGTTCCACACTCAGTGTGTGTGAGTCTGCATAAAACACACTCTCAGGTATTTATGAATTCGTTTCCTTTGTGCCAGCTGTCTTTCCCCGGAGTTTCAGGTCACCCTCAGATCTTAAGTCCATCAGCGTTTTTTTTCTTTCTTTCTTTCTTTTTTTTTTTTTTTTTTTTTCTTTTTTTCCGCGGCTCCTCCCTGAAGCCTTTGACTGCAGAGGAGGCTGCCCAGAAAGGAGAGGGGCGGCGGGTGCTGCAGAGGGATGCTTCAGAGAGAAGAAACCATTGGGGCACCTGCTGCCTGCCGTCCCCTGGGTAGCTGGAAAAAAGAGGAACACAGGAGCAAAGGGTGAGAATGGGACCCTTTCCTGTGCTGAACCCGGCCCACAGAGTGGGGGAAGGGGCAGATCCACAGCGTTTAGGCTTATCGATCTCTGGTCTTTTTAAATATCTCCTGGCCTGGCCACCTCATACTCCACGACAGCCTTGCTTTGCAGGACTCCCGAATCCAGCCGGGGTCTGAGTTTTGGTTACTCTATCTTCAGCCTTCCTCTGCCAGGTGCCTGCCTCTTCTTTAATATTCTGTCCAGTCATCCTCCTTTTTGAATCCTCTTTCCAGCATTTTGCTCTAAAAGCACACATGGCATTGCTTTGTGTGGCAAAGCAAAGTGAACAACTTTAGAAAACCTATTTAGGTAGAATATATATATTGACTTTTTCTTTCCCTCACCATAAATGTTTCTGATTAGTGCTGTTTGTAGTAGAGTCGCAGTCTCTTTAGAAGGAGGCTTTTGAGTCTTGTCACACCCTTATGCATTTATTCCCCTTTAAACATATTCTCTGCAAACCTGAACTTGGTTGAGGGCTATCAACAAAACATGCTCCTGGGAGATTAAAAATATGGAAGTATGTTGATGACCCCTTTAACAGAATTCCTACCACTCTGGTTATCCCTAATACTTCTGTAACCCTCCAAAGAACTGTCCCAGGTCATTTAGTTAAAAAGCAAATATCTTCACAGTAATAATAATAAAAAAAACATAAGGCATAACTCTTAGAACCACTGAAAACATTCTACTTCTCCAGTGCCAGCAGAGCCTGAAAGTTTCAGATAGATGGGACCTGGCGACTGATGACTTTTCATTTTATTATTCTAAAGCCATCTGAGAAAGCAGGAAGTTCTGTATTGGCATGTGTTTTTGAAAAGGTCAGCTTTAGGGTAGGGCCCATGAAAAGCCTCAGTCCAAGAGTCAAAAAAGTCAAGTTCTCCTACCACCAATAAGCTCTGGCAGAAGTCCTAGGACAGAACAGCGGATGAGTCGGCCGGGCGCAGTGGCTCATGCCTGTAATCCCAGCACTTGGGGAGGTCGAGGCGGGTAGATCACAAGGTCAGGAGTTCGAGACCAGCCTGGCCAATATGGTGAAAACCCGTCTCTACTAAAAATACAAAAAAATTAGCCAGGTGTGGTGGCACATGCCTTCAATCCCAGCTACTCAGGAGACTGAGGCAGGAGAACTGCTTGAATCTGGGAGGCGGGGTTGCAGTGAGCTGAGATCGCGCCACTGCACTCCAGCCTGGGTGACAGAGTGAGACTGCATCTCAAAAAAAAAAAAAGAAGAAAGAAAAGAAAAAGAACAGCCGATCAGCAGATGAGTCTCCATCCATCTCACCACCAGGTAGATACATCAGTGTCACCAAAGCTGGCATCGGTACGTGGATGCAAGGAAACCCAGTAAATAAATGCATGCAAGATACCTGCTATATGACAGGCATTTGCTATCTTGTATTGAATAATGACAAGATCACCTGGAGATGGTCACTATTATTCAGAGCAAACAGCTGAGGCCCAGAGAAGTAAGTAATTTGCCAACTCACACAGCTCCTTCAAACCTAAGCTCCACCTGCTTCCAGACTGAGGGTTCTACTCATTCCACAAACTGCAGCCATTGGCATTTACTGCTTCCTTATGTCTCTGTGGAATTTGATAAGCGAAGTCTGCCATCTGCAGAGTTTAGCGTGCATATAATAAACCTATCCTGCTTTGGGGACACCAATTTGAATTCTTCTGCACCATGAGGAAACCATTAACGAGCATGCTCCATTTGGGCAGCTAGTGGCAGCAAAAAACTACATGATTGTTGTAGGTTTCTCAAATATCCCAATGTAAAATAAAATGGGTGTGGCCAGTGGAACATGACACATAACTGGCACTGTAACATTTTACATGCAACTCTAAACATCAATTTACAAAACACCCTTTCAGGAATTAATAAGCTAAAATGCAAATTAGCTGACCTAACTCTTTAAAATGGCCACATCACGACTTCCACTTTTTTTTTTTTTCTGATTACAGTATCTTCATTTTCCACCCTTGTAAATGGGTTTTCTTTGGAAACGTGCCCTTAAAAGTTGCTCTAAGGAATAAAAGAAAAAAATGCTGGCACTGAACACCTCATTATTGGAGTTTATAATGCTTTCTGCAAGTCTTTAACTTTCTCCAAAGCAGCATGAATAAAGTCAACAGAAATGTATAGCTTGTTGAAATCACAAAGATCTTTCATCTCTGTTTCTTGTAGCCAGTTTATTTCTTTGTATATTTTGCTCACGACAGGAATCATACGTGAGTCTCCTTCATCTCTTGGGAAATATGTTTGTTTGAAAGAAAACTTTTCCCATTTTATTATCAAGTATGTCTATTTTACAGCACCATATTTTGAAGCGATGCATCATAAAGTGTGCTATGTGGCTATATAAAATTTAGATTGCAGCAGGAACGAGAATGTCATTTGAATAGATTAAGGATGGAAAGCACATTTATATTCAGAACACGTGCAGTATGAGAAATGATGGGAACTCACTGCTGTCCAAGCAGAAATGATGGTGATAGGTTCAAACTCCTAAATGCTCGCTCCAGAAAACTAGCGAAGGTAATGTGTTTTCTTCCCAGAGGCCTGCTCTGCTATGCCTTGTCCTTAATCATAGTCACCAGACTCAGAGGTAAGAGGGTTACACAGGGGACAGCCATTTCAGGCAGGTCACAGGGATATTGGTTAGAGCCGACAGTACTAACCCTGTTTGTTCAGTTGTGCTTTCCCGACTGCAAGGAAATACATGCTGCTTCTACACTTCGGGCACCAACCAGCCACAAAAAAATACATATATATTCCATGCGGCACCTGAATTTCTTTGCTGACCTTTACAGTGGTTTAATAAATCAATGGGAGGAATGTAAGCTTTAATGTTTGCAAAGGTAGAGGATAAGCATTTCTGTCTGCAAGAGACAAAGCCCCGAGTCTGGCTCTTTCACAGCCATGCTGGATGCTGTCCAGGGCAGGAGTTCAGTTTCTCGCCAGTACTTCACTGCTGCATGAATGCAGCAAAGGCTGCAGAATTGCATATGGGCGGATCCCTGGATTCCTACAGTAAAGCAGGCAGGCTTCTGAAGCCAGGATATGTAACGCCGGTGTATGGTAAGTTGAACGTGTAAAAGACTCGCCGGATAAGAAAAGCAAAACTTGATTGTGTCTAAATGGCTTATTGATTAATTATATAACTCAAATGTTTATTCATCCATTGAGTCGCCAAATGTTAACTGAACACTTACAAGGTACAGGATTCTGTACAAGTGCCATGGGAGATGCAGGGAGTTTTAGCCCAGTCCCAGTCTTTGAAGGCCTTGAAAAATATCTGAATACAATAAAAAGAAACCAATTACTACTACGTACAACATGGATACATTTCAAAAACAATATACTGATACTGAATGAAAGAAGGCTTAAAGTATACATGTTGTATAATTACGTTTATATAAAATTCCAGGACAGGCAAACTAATGTATGGTGGAAAAAATATCAGAACAGTGGTTTCCTCAGGGAGTGTGGAGTAGGAAATGACTGGGAGGAGGCACAAGGGAACTTTCCGGGGTGATGGTATTTTTATGTGTCTTGAGAAGTTTGAATTGTGCAGATGTAACCATTTGTCAAGATGCATAGAATGTACCAGGATTTGTGCATTTTATTAAATGTAAATTTTACATCAAAAGAAGAAAACTAAACCGAATGTGTATATACACATTTATAGATTACATATAATTATCAAAATAAATATAACAGTTTAAAAATTTATAAATATAAATATAAAACAAATCATGTTAAAATAGCTAAGCAGAAAAAAATTTATACTCATGGAATTTCAAAGAACTATGCAAAAGTTAAATGATAAAAGAATTCTAGGAGATGTCAGAAGGAAGAAGAAAATAGTACAAACAATAACTGCTATAATTTTAGAAAAGGGAGCAGCGACTGTGGGCTTGAATCAACATTTCTGTGTCTATGGCTGGTTACTATGCCAGATGCTTTGAAAGTATCGTATTTAATTCTCATAGCTGCTCTATGAAGTGGATGTTCTTATTTTTGCTCTAAAGATGAGTAGTTACAGTATTAATATTTCTATTAGTTCATCTTCATGTATTAAAAATGTTTAGCAATCTTACATTGCTGCCTTATATTGAATTTGCATCAACTTTTATAAAACATTGAAAATGATTTATACTGTGGCTTTTCTAAAAAACCTAAAATATAACTTTCCTTTATTTTCTTTAAATCTAATCTTTAATATGAATACTTCCAGTCCATTTTTCAAACCTGCTGAAATCATTTTAAATCTTTCAACTTTAGGTAAAATTTTATAATGAACGAATGTGCCAATTTTTTTAACTTAATACACATCAGAAATATGCTTTATACACTGTGTGTCACAGATTCTTGGGATTGGAAAGTGTTTAAATGTCTTCCGGTCAAGACCTTCACTTGCTTCTTTATCTTTGTCAGGCCTTAACCTTTGACGGCTTTGGTTATCCTTCTGTAAAGTGGATTATCTTCTTTCTATACCCTGCACTGCAGCCATTGGGCACTACTTCGGAACAGAGCAGAAATTTCTAGGGAAGCAGAGGCATTGATGTCCAGAAATGAGCCTTGGTTTTTCGCTTTCACTTTCACACTTAAATTTCTTTTCCATCTGATTCCTATGGCATCCTCGCATAACAGAGATGATGTCATGATATTTAAATGGGGAGATGAGGTTTCCCAAGCATTCATGAGTTACATCACTGGTTCCCTGTAGCAATCCTTTGAGGCTTCTGCAGATCTTGCAGATGTCACCATCCTCACTGGATATATAAGGATGGTGAGAGGGCTGGAGAAGTAAGGGATGCACCCCAAACCATATCTCCTATAAGCAATGGAGCCACGACTGTAATCCAGCTTTCACGTTATCAAATTCACTGGGAATTTTCCCCCTAAATCTTTCAGTTTTATAAGTACATGTACAAGGCCAGTCCTTTTTCGGATCCTTTCATGGTACAATTCCAGAAAGAGGGAAGTCCCCGTTGCTGCCCACTTTCTGATCAGACACTTGAGGTGTAACTACTCTAATCAGAGCTTCATCTCTTTACCTGCAATCACTGTTAATATGCCAATATCAGTGGAAGAGGTAAGGGCTAAAGCTGACATACCTAAGCTTTCTATCTAAGACTGACTATGAGGCTGATAACAGTTTTGAGAAAAAAGAAAATAAAAGAGGGGAAAGCTTGGGGACCTTGAGCAGTGAGTATAGGGCAACAAGGGAAAAAGGAGGCTCAACCCTTCCAGGATGAAGTGGACAGTCAAAGAAGCCAGAACAGAAATGGGGCTGGAAGCAGAATATTCCTCATAGACTTCGAGTTTGCCATGCCTAAAGCAAAGGCCTCTACTTCCATCCTATGGTTGACTAAGTTATAATTCATATGTCAATCAATTAATCCTTGGTGTATTTAAATCAAGGGAGCACATTAAAGCTTTATTTTGGGTGTCTTTCCCCACCTGACACTTGGCCAAAGAAATTCTGTACAAAAGCCAGGCATGTTGGCACTCGTGGCTTAGTCCCATCTACTCTGAAGGCAGGAGGATTGCTTGAGCTCAGGAGTTTGATGCTGCAGTGAGCTCTGAATGTGCCACCGCACTCCATCCTGGGCAACAGAGCAAGACCCTGTATCTAGGGAAAAATAATCTGTACATTGACAGGCACTCATTCAAGCTCCTTTTCAACCCTTACATACTCCAGCAAGGTGCTGGGCAGCCAGAAAAAGGCCAAAGGGAGTAGGAAATAGAAAGAGGAGAAGCAAAATGGCAGAATAACCCACACATCAGGTAATCAAACCAAGGAGGACTGATGGAAAATGAAATCATAATCCTGTAAGTTAAGAGGATAAGGGAAAGGGGAATTTGCATTTATTAAGCATAATTATGTGCAATAATATTAATAGTATCTTTATGTCTATGTCAAGCACCGTGCAAAGTCATTTACTTGGATAATTTCATTTAATCATCACAAAGTCCCAATGAATTGGGTATTAAAATCATGTTCATTTCAAAGATGTAATAATGAAGGTTTTAAACTAACAGTATGCCAAAGGAACTCAGCCATTAAGCTCTCACAGAACCCTGCTAAGGTAAGCATTATTTTCACTTTACGATGAGGAATGTGAAATTCAGAGAGTTTATGATTATTGTTCAAAGTCACACAGCGAGGAGAAGGTCCAGCTGAATTCTCACACTTCCTGCTAGGACCAAAGTGCAAGATTCTTGAGAGATGGTATGCAAATAAGATCTCTCACTCTTTTTTATTTCTCCTACGAAATTTAAATTTATATATTAATGCAAAAAAAACCCACTGCAATAATCAGAGTCAAAAATGCTGAAATCACATCACTCATCCATATAATCGTCTTTTGGGCAGAGCAGCAAGACACAAGCCAAGTAAGTCTACACCCTGCTTTATTAGCAGCCTGCAAAAATAGACATCCATCACTAAAATAACTTATAAGAGCCAAATTGCATTAGAGCGTCTCTCTCCAGATACAAGTTCAATGTCTTATTGCTAACCAGCAATTCCTTTTGTTATTATATTATCTGGAAGAGAAAAAAAAAAAAAAACTAACAAAGATTCCCTGCACCTTTCAGGATCACTTCATCCTACAAATCTAATAAACTGCACTACCAAATCACATTAGGATAACAGATGTGCTTTTGAATAGGCCTTAGATATTTCAATTTGCAAAGTGTTTTTTTCTTTCTCATGCCAAAACAGTTTTTGCCCATTACACTGATTAATACTTACTTTAGAAGTTATCCAAATTAAAATTGCCTTCCAAATTAGTTCCCAAAATGAAATTTAGAAAGGTTACTTAAGTAAAGCCCATAGCTCTGTTTTAACACTCTTCAGTGTACAAATGGATGGGAGCTATAGGGAGAGAAGGCTCAGCTGCATGTAACATTCAGAGCTATCCAAAGGTGGAAGGAATTGCTCCAAGCATGAGGCAAGAGCATTTTAGAAGAAAAAAAAAAAAAAAAAAGCACTTCACCTCTGAGCTGGCCTTGACCCTAGATGGCCTCTCTGGTTGTCTGTCAAGCTGAGCGTCTCTGATTCAAAAGGACTAAAAAGGTTTAAAGTACTGAACAAGCTATGGCCAAGGAGCATTCCCAGCTTGCAGTGATCATGAATGAGAGCTTAAAAGCACAGCATATGTCCCCAAACCGAGACTTGCTAATATCTTACTTTGGAGATGAGTCAAAAAGACAAATTATGAGCAAGAGCCAGCAGAATGAGACTTTTGAGGGAAGAAAGAGAGCTACTAACTGAAGTTTTGGGGAACATATGTTTGCTTATTTGCATTGAACTCATCTTTCCTACAGAATAAGGCTAAGTAATAAACAGCTGAATATTCATCAGTTGAATTGGTTTCCATTCTTGTAACACAACAATATTCACTTTCCTTCTTCCAATTTTTTTTTCCTTTCATGGGTTCATTATGAATGAAAGGGGAGAAAAGCAGATGCTTCTCTTACTCTCGCTTTCAGATTAAGTGTGGAAAGGAGCATGTACTCAGATCCATTCACCTTTCTCATCTAAGACTCAAACCCAAGCATGAGGAATTGAATAGTCTCTCTCCCAGTCCCTACTGTCTAAGTCTTTGGTTCTTTATCTCTTCCTAAAATTTGTGTGTTGCTGATTTCCCTTTGAAGAAAGTAACTATAAATTGGTCTGCAAAGTCCAGGGAATAGCAGACGGTGGAGCCTAGGGTTTAGAGGGTAAGTCAACAATCTCTAGGTGTTACTATGGTGACACATCCTAGAGGATGAGTGATGAGCCTGCTCTTACTTCAAAAAAGAAAAAGTGTCAATGAAGCCAGCCAAATGCAGCAGCATCTTTTCCTGACAACTAAATGTTATGGATGTCATGTTGCTCTGTGTACAATTGTGAAAGTCTATATAGTTTTGGGAATAGCACGGAGGGTATAAATGGTACTGGATTTGACGTTGAGGTGTCCATTCTAGACCTAGTTCTGCCACTAACCAAGAGCAACTGTCTTCAAACTGGGCCATGTGTTCCCCTGGGGAGACTGGAGGTCCTTCTAAGGGGTTCACAGGCATAGATAGTACAAAGGGAATCTATTTCTAGATCTCCCATTGCCCTATGTAGTTTTTTGTAAAATCAATCTGCTTTCAAACTTGCACATGTTCTCCTTCCCACCTCTACCCTAAAGCAAATGAGGTAAGTCTTCAACAGTAAGATTTTGACAAAAATGCATTTAAGTCACATAAGAAAATAATTTTGTAATATTGCATTGATAAAGATGCATTGAAATTAAAAGTATTCTTATTCCAATCCTTTTAAGTCTAATGGGTTAAATAAAGTGTCTTTAAGAGAAAAAAATAACTAGGTATAATTAAGGGTCATTTGATAAGACTTGGTAAAGCCTCTTTTGGTGTATTTCCCAGAAATGGAGTAACTTACTTTAATCAGCTAGAGAGAAATTCCTATGCAAGCTAAGTGCTTCCCAATTCTCAGCTTTTAACAAACTCAAAGGAGTATTTAATCAATTAATCCTCTGATCATGAAAGTATTTTATAGGACTGGGCATGGTGGCTCACACAAAGTAATCCCAGCACTTTGGGAGGCTTTGGCAGGTAGAATCACTTGAGATCAGGAGTTTGTGACCAGCCTAGGCAATATAGCAAAACCCCATCTCTACAGAAAAAAAAAAATTAATAGCCAAATGTTGTGGTGTGCCTCTAGTCTCAGTTACTCAGGAGGCTGAGGGAAGAGAATGGATTGAGCCCACGAGTTTGAAGCTGCAGTGAGCTATGATTGTGCGACTGTACTGCAACCTGGGTAACAGTAACACTCTCTCTAAAATAAATGAAAATAAATAAATAAATACATTTTATAATAGGTCAACATGTGCTTTTTGGTTTAAAATTTGGAAACATTTCAAATATTGAGTGACATTGCTATAACTTAGTATAAAACTTTTAACATAAAGCTTGTATTCCTGTATACTTATACTTATTTGTATACATGTATACTTATATACTTATTTTGGTAAACTATGTTTCTCAGTAATTTTATAGTACATGTGTATGTGGGCATATCCTGAAAAAAAGAAAAGTTTATTTTTATTTTAATAATTGCTTAATAAAATTTATAAGGTCCTGTTTTGAGCAAAAAGATTTGCAAACGTAAAATATATTAAAGGTAAAACAATGTAGGGAAGAGTAATAGAAATAAGAGTCCAAGGAGAAAAAGGAACTATAAAATTGGTGAAGGGTAAAGAAGAGCTTATTCATGTATATGTCAATTGGATGATGATAGGTAAATGTTGGCATTTTATTTAGGTTCCAATTGATATGTTGAAAAGAGTAATTTCACATTTTTAGAGACAGGTTCTCACTCTGTCACCAAGGCTGAAATGCAGTGGCATGATCAGAGTTCACTGTAACCACAAGCTCCTGGGCTTAAGGGATCCTCCCACCTCAGCCTCCCAAGTAGCTGGGACTATAGGCATGCACCACCATGCTTGACTAAGATTTTTATTTTTTGTAGAGACAGGGGTCTCACTATATTGCCCAGGCTGGTCTCAAACTGCTGGCCTCAAGCAATCCTACTGCCTCAGCCTCCCAGTGTTGGGATTACAGGCATGAGCCACCACACCAAGCCTAATTTCACAATTTTATTTTAGAATACCTATACTTTAAATACACTGGAGCCAGGTATGGTGGCTCATGCCTGCAATCCCAGCACTTTGAGAGTCCAAGGCGGGTAGATTGTTTGAGTCCAGGAACTTGAGACCAGCCTGGACAACATGGTGAAACCCCACCTCCACCAAAAAATACAAAAATTAGCTGGGTGAGGTGGTACACACCTGTAATCCCAGCTACTCAGGAGGCTGAGGCAGGAGGATCACCAGAGCTCAGGAGGTCGAGGTTGCAGTGAACCATGATCGCAATGCTGCACTCCAGCCTGGGCAACAGAGCCAGACTCTGTCTCAAAATAAAATAAAATAATAAAATAAAATGGAAATTACATCTTTTGCAACTGTCTAAACTTAAGAAAAGAATCAAATGAATTTTCAACATTCTTCTAGGGCATATATGAGCTAAAAATGTTTGAAGAATGCAGACTTGGGCAAAAGATTTGAATAGACATTTCCACAAAGGACATATATAAATGACAAGCTCATAAAAATATGTTTAACATAGTAGTTAGCAAAATGCAAATCAAAACCACAATGAGGCACCACTTCACAACCCCTGGAGTGAATGTAACTTAAAAAACCAGACAATAGCAAGTATTAACAAGAATGTGGAGAAATTGAAACCTTCAGACATTGCTGGCAGGAATGTAAAATAGTGCAGCCACTTTGAAAAGCAGTTTGACAGTTTCTCAAAATATTAAACATAGAGTTACCATATGATCTAACAATTCCACTCCTAGGTATCTACCCAAAAGAAACGAAACACATGTACACACAAAGACTTGAGTATCAATGTTCATAGCAGCATTGTTCTTTTTTATTGATACATAATAGTTGTACATATATATGGTGCACATATTTTGATATGTGCATACAATGTGTAATGATCAAATCAGATTAATTAGGATATCTATCACCTCAAACATTTATCTTTTCTGTGTGTTGAAAACATTGCAATTCTTTTCTTCTGGTTATTTTGAAGTATACAATAAATTATTGTTAACTATAATCACCCTACTGTGCTATTGAACACTAGAACGTATTCCTTCTATTTAACGTATTTTTGTATCCACTAATCAAGTCCTCTTTACCTCCTCCTTCCCTCTACCCTTCCCAGCCTCTGATAGCCACCATTCTACTCTCTACCTCCATTATGTCTGCTGTTTAAGCTCCCACATATGAGTGAGAATATTTGATATTTGTCTTCCTCTGCCTGGCTTATTTCACTTAACATAATGACCTCCAGTTTCACCCATGTTGCTGCCAATGACAGGGTTTCATTCTTTACATGGCTGAGTAATATTCCATTGTGTATTATTACATTTTCTTTGTTCATTTATCCATTGATGGAGACTTAGATTAATTCCATATCTTTGCTATTGTGACTAGCGCTGCAAAAAACATGAGGGTGCACATATGTCTTTGATATACTGATTTCCTTTCTTTTGGATATATACTCAGCAGTGGAACTGCTTGATCATATGGAAGCTCTATTTTCAGTTTTTTTGATGAGCCTCCATACTGCTCTCTTTAGTGGCTCTACTACTTACCATTGCCACAAATAGTATCCAAGTGTTCCCCGTTTCTCCATATCCTTGCAAGCATCTGTTATTTTCTGTCTTTTTGATAAAAGACATTCTAACTGGGGTGAGGTGATATCTCATTGTGACTTTGATTTGCATTTCCCTGATGATTAGTGATGTCAAACATTTTTTCACATACCTGTTGACTATTTGTATGTCTTCTTTTGGGAAACTTCTACTCGGGTCTTTCGCCCATTTTTAAATCAGATTATTTGGGGTTTATTGCCATTTAGTTGTTTGAGTTTCTTATATATTCTGGTTATTAATCCCTTGTCAGATGGATAGTGTATTAGTTCATTCTCACACTGCTATAGAAAACTACCCGAGACTGGGTCATGTGTGAAAAAAAGTGGCTTAATTGATTCACAGTTCCACAGGCTTAACTGGAAGCATGACTGGGAGGCCTCAGGAAACTTACAATCATGGCGGACGGTGAAGGGGAAGCAAGCACACCTTACCATGGTGAAGCAGGGGGGAGACAGAGAAAGAGAGAAGGGGGAAGTGCCACACACTTTTAAACCATCGGATCTCTTGAGAGCTCACTCACTATCACGAGAACAGCAAGGGGAAAATCTGCCCCCATCATCCAGTCACCTCCCAACAGGCCCCTCCCCCAACACTGGGTATTTATAATTCGAGATGAGATTTGGGTGGGGGCACAAAGCCTAACCATATCAGATATTACAGTTGGCAAATAATTTCTCCCATTCTGTAGGTTGTCTCTTCGTTGATTGTTCAGCATTATTCTTACTCTCCAAAATGGAAAAAGAAGTCAAATGTCCCTGAGCTGGTAATGGAAAAATAAAGTGTGGTAAAACAATGGGAAACTATTCAATATTTTTAAAAAATGAAGTACTAATACATGTTACAACATGGATAAACGAAAACATTACACTAAGTGAAAGAAGCTATCACAAAAGGCCACATACTGTATGGTCTATATGAAATGTCCAGAATAAGCAAATCTATAAAGACAGAATGTAGATTAGTGGTTGCCTAGGGCTGAAGGGTGGGAGGAGGAATGGGAAGTGGTAGCTATTGGGTGTAAGGTTTCTTTTAGGGGTAAGGTTTCTTTTTGGGGGTGATGAAAATGTCCTAGAATTAGATTATGTTGATGAGTACACAACTCTATAAAAATTCATAAATACTGGTTAAAAAGGATAAATGAATGTTCTTGCATTACTTTTACTTCCTTCAATGGAGACAGAAAGAAGAGATCAGACTCTCTGATACAGCAAGGTGAAGGATGATGTTATTTATCCCTCCCTAGGCACGGCAAGGCAACCAGGACAGCCAAATGACTCTGCATGAAGCCCAGTCCAAGGCAGGGCAGGGCAGGGCTGGCCAGAGGCCCCTGTGGACCACTTAATTGGTCAATGCTTTATGACCAGAGTCATGGATTTCATGCTCCAAACAAGTTATCTGTTCTATCACCAGAGCTGAAAGTAGCTAGTGGAAGCTCAACATCATTTCCTTTTGCATAATTTCCTTTGGTTGCCCTCCACAAATAGATTGATGTTCCTGTCAGGTTATCAATAATAGAAGGAGAACTACCTGGTTTCTATGCATCTAGGAATGTGCGAGGGGAAATAAGCAATTAATGCTCAATCTTTCTAGCTGCAAGGATAGTTTCTTTTGTGTACATCTCAGCTGAAAAGACTAAAGTCATAATTTCCAATTTAAGTTTAGAATGTATTGAATATTCTCTTTCTAAATATGTGCCTTTATAGTTGAATGGTGTAATGAAGTTGAAAAAGGAGTAATAAGCTTGTACATTAGAGTGGTGTAGAATAGGTACAACATAATCTTTGGAAGATTACATACATATTCTAGCTCTTCTCTCATTGTTTGAAACTTTTTTGTAGTTTTCTAGCCAGTTTATATGCCACACAAGGAAACAAGTTACCCTCACTTTATAGTCACATCATGCCTTTTTTACAGTGTTACCCACTTTTATCTTTGACTTTATTTGCTAGTTTGGGTTCTCAGTGACTTTTGATCAGTTTCAAAAATCAAAAGGTAAAAATATGCCACCGATAATTTTCAAAATAATGGGGTTTATTACATTCTACAGACATTTCACACAAAAATGTTTCTGGTCTGAACTGATTATATGAAATGTCCAGAATAAGCAAATCTATAAAGACAGTGCTCCAGGGCAGCTGCACCCCAATGTCCCAGGATTTCCTTTATTTTTACTGCTTGTTTTGCCTATTCTTAGGTCACATATTTTCCTCTTTCTGTAGTTGCAATCTTGATTTTTCTAAAACATATCCTCAAGTTATTTTGTAAGAATTAGGAATTAAACTTTCTGAATCTATTCATGTCTAAAAATGCCTTTGTTTGCCCTCCCACTGCACTGATACTTCCCTGGGTATAGAGATTTCATAAAACAATACATCTTACACATATACACACACACACACAATTTCTAAGAACTCTTTCTTGCTCTCTTTCTATTATCATGGTCTGGTTCTTGTTTTATAGGGACGATGTCTTAGTCCATTCGGGCTGTTATAACAAAATATCACGGACTGGGTAGCTTATAAACAACAGGAAATTATTTCTCATAGTTCTAGAGGTTGGGAAGTCCAAGATCAAACTGCCAGCAAATTCAGTGTCTGGTGAGGGCCCTCTTCACAGATCTCTGTCTTCTTGTGGTGTCCTCACGGGGTGGAAGAAGTCAGGGAGGTCTCTGGGGACTCTTTTTTAAGAACACTAATCCCATTCATGTGGGCTCTACCCTCATGGCCTCATCACCTCCCAAAGAACCCCCTTCCTAATACCATCACCTTGAGGTTAGGATTTTAGTGTACAAGACAGACATAAATATTTCATCCATTGCAGATAATATAGTCTCAAATTTCTCTTAATATAGTAATTAGGTTAAGAAAGAAGGTGGCTTCTGCCTATTGCATGATCTATTTTCTCCAGGGTGAGATTTTCCATTTCCTTGGCTTTTTTTTTTTTTTTTTTTTTCAGATAGATTCTCACTCTGTTGCCCAGGCTGGAGTGCAGAGGCGCAATCTTGGCTCACCACAACCTCTGCTTCCTGGGTTCAAGCAATTCTCCTGCCTCAGCCTCCCAAGTAGCTGGGACTACAGGTGCACACCACCATGCCCGGCTAATTTTTGTATTTTTAGTAGAGACGGGGTTTCACTATGTTGGCAAGGCTGGTCTTGAACTCCTGACCTCATGATCCGCACACCTTGGCCTCCCAAAGTGCTGGGATTACAGGCGTGAGCTACTGCACCCGGCCAACTTTCTTTTCTCTATCACAGGCTTTTTTCAAAGATTGTTGCACTCTCTTGTTCTTTGTATTGTCCTGTAAGCCATCATAAGATTACATATTTTTAAAATTTATTCATTATCATTTCAGTGGTGTCTCAGCAATGAGGATGAATATGATGGTTTCAAAACCTCAAATTAGATAGCTTTACTATTCTATTATTACATCTCATATGTATTATAGGAACAAAATTGTATACAAAGCATTTAAATCAACGACTTGCATTTTAGTGCCCAATGACTTGTGTCAGATGAGTTGATAACCAAAACCAGGAAGCATCAACGGCTTAAAAAATACACCCACTTACGCAGTCTCCCCTGACACATGTATGTATGTAGATATATTTCAGGGGTCATAGTTTGTGTTTATATTTTAAAGTCATGCTGTTCACAGTTTTGTTTCCATTCAGGATCACACAATGGTAATGTACCTTTTAAAAAAATAATAACAAATTTTTTTGAAAAACTTCCAGGCAGGCATGACCAGGTTTTAGCAATTTTTTTTAATTACAGCATGCAGAAAAATATTAAAAAGTATTAGGACAAACATTATATAGCTCTTGCTTAGCTGTCAAATATTGACATTTAATCAGATTTACTTTGGATCTTAAAACAAAAAATCGTAGGTACGAAGACCTTTCCATAGCTTTCCCTAATCCCTTTCCCCTTCCATCTTTCCCAGTAGTAACCAGCAGACTGAATTTAGTATGATTCATTGCCTAGGGCAATCATCTCTTGCATAATTTAGAAATTCTTATCTATAAATAATATGGATATATATAATATAGACATGTCAGTCATAAATAAATGTACTTGTATTTGTTCCTTTAAAACCCTGAAATCTTATAAATCTCTTTTTCAACGTATTTACAGTTCTACACTCTGTTGAACAAAATTAACAATAGCATGTTTATTTTTTTGCTGACTTCAAAGAAAATGTTTTTAACTTTTCTACATTAGATATGTTTGCTACAGATTTGGCAGAATATCCTCTATTAGGTTAAGAAAATGTTCTTCTATTTCTAGTTGGATAAGAAGCTTTATCATGAATGAATATTTTTATGGAATAATTTTTATTTAATGTGATAATCATGTGTATTTCCTTTATTCTGTAAATGTGATTATTATTATTATCATTTTTTTTGAGATGGAGTCTCACTCTGTTACCCAGGCTGGAGTGCAGTGGCACAATCTCGGCTCACTGCAAGCTCCACCTCCCAGGTTCACGCCATTTTCCCACCTCAGCCTCCCGATAGCTGGGACTACAGGCACCTGCCACCATGCCCGGCTAATTTTGTTTTTGTATTTTTAGTAGAGACGAGGTTTCACCATGTTAGCCAGGATGGTCTCGATCTCCTGACGTCGTGATCTGCCCACCTCGGCCTCCCAAAGTGCTGGGATTACAGATGAATTTTATTAATAGGTTTTCTAGTGTTAAATCATTTCATCCTGCGACTAAATACATAGATAGATCATAGACAGACATAGATATAGATGTACATTCATTCATTCTTGGATTCAGTTTGTCTGTATTTATTTAAATGTGTTACATATATATTCACAAAGTGAGGTTAATCTCTACTTTCCCCTACAGTCTTTGTCTGATCTTTGAATCAAAGTTCTACTAACCTCATTAACTGAGTTTAGATTTTCCTCATGTTTTATTTTTTGGAAAAATTTGTATAATAGGCTATTTATCGAATGTTTAGTTAAACTTGCCTATAAAATAATCCAGGTATGGTGTTTTATTTTGTATAAATCTAAACTACTGAAAAAATATCATTATAGTTACAGGACTATTCAAGTTCTCTATTTCTTCTTGAGTAAATATTGGGATATACAGTTTTACAGACAGATAATCGTACATTGTAAGTTTTCAATTTTATTACATAAAATCATTGGTGTTGGTGATATTCCTTTATTATTTTCATGTTTTTGTTTTATTGGTAGTTATGCCTCCTTTTTCATTATTCATCTGTGTCTTTTATTTAAAACAATTTAATTGTGGTAAAATACACATAAAATGTACTGTATTAACCATTTTAAAGTGTATAGTTCAGTAATGTTTCGTATATTCACACTGTAGTACAACCTATCTCTAAAACTTTTTCATCTTCCAAAACTGAAACTCTATATTCATTAAACAACTTCCCATTTCCTCTTCCCCAATCTTCTCACAGCCACCATTCTACTTCGTATTTCTGTGAGTTTGACAATGGATATGGTCTGGCTCTGTGTCCCCACCCAAATATCATTTTGAATTATAATCTGAATTCTAATCCAAACATGTTGGGGGAGGAACCTCATGGTTCCTCATGGAGGTGATTAGATCATGGGGGAGGTTCCCCCATGCCATTATCATGATAGTGAGTGAGTTCTCACAAGATCTGATGGTTTTGTAAGGGCTTTTCCCTGCTTGTAACCATTCTCTCTCCTGCTACCCTGTGAAGAGGTACCTTCTGCCATGATTATAAGTTTCCTGCGGCCTCCCCAGCCATGTGGAACTGTGAGTCAGTTAATCCTCTCTTCTTTATAAATTACCCAGTCTTGGGTATTTCTTCATAACAGCATTAGCACGGACTAATACAACAACTTTAAATGCCTCATAGAAGTGGAAGCATATAGTATTTCTCATTTTGTGACTGGCTTATTTCACTCAGCATAATATTCTCAAGGTTCATCCATTGTAGCATGTGACATTGTAGCATGTAAATTCAAGATTGTTGTAGCATGTGACAAAATTCTTCTTTTTAAGGGCTGAATAATATCCCACTATATATCACATTTTGTTTATCCACTCATCCATTGACAGACATTTAGGTTGCTTCCAATTCTTGGCTATTGTGAATAATGCTGTAATGAACATCAGTGTGCAAATATCTCTTAAGAAACCCTGCTTTCAACCTGGATGGAACTGGAGGTCATTATTCTAAGTGAATTAATTCAGGAATGGAAAACCAAACATTGTATGCTCTCACTCATAAGTGGAAGCTAAGCTATGAGGACGAAAAATGCAATGGACTTTGGGGCCTCGGGGGAAAGGGTGGGAGGGGGATGAGGGATAATACACATTTAGATACAGTTACACTGCTCAGGTGATGGGTACACCAAAATCTCAGAAATTGCCACTAAGGAGCTTATTTCTGTAACCAAACACCACCTGTTCCCAAAAAAACCTATTGAAATAAATAAATAAAATGAGAATAATAATTTAAAAAAATAAAAAAGTGAAAAAAGTATAAACAATAAAATAAAATTGATTGAAATACCTTTTTTTAAAAAAAAAAAAAAAAAAAAAAGGAGCTCTTCCTTTCAATACTTTTGGATACATACCTAGAAGTGGAATTGTTGGATTATATGGCAATTCTATTAGTAATTTTTTGAGGAACCTCCAAACGGTTTTCTAGAGAGGCTGCACCATTTTGCATCTCCACCAACAGTGCACAAGGGTTCCAATTTCCCCACATCCTCACCAACATTTGTTATTTTCCTTTTCTTTGTTTTCTTATAATAACCTTCTTAAGGGGTGTGGAGTGCTAGCTCACTGTGGTTTCAATTTGCATTTCTTTAATGCTTAGTGATGTTGAGCCTCCTTTCATATGCTTGTTGGCCATGTGTCTCCCCCTTTTTTTGGGTTATTTTTACCAAAGGTTTATCTGCAATTAGATTCTTTTCAGTGGACTGAATTTTCATTTTGTGATCTTTTCTATTTTCTTTCCTGTCCCGGCCAAGACAGGTCCATTTTAAGTTGACTTTTTTTTCAGTTCAACTTGGTTGCTGAAAGGAAACAGAGAAAAATTGAAAAGACAGGCTCATTAAATGAACTGAGAACAATTTAATTCAAATAACTTAAGTACCAATTAGCTAATTGCAAGCCCCATGCTGATAAGTCAGAAGATCTTAGCTTCTGGGCAAACCTGTGAGACACGTGAGATTTTGGAATCAGAGGCCCAGATTATGTGAAATTCATAATAGATCATACAAGTAATTCACGTATAGGATTCGGAATTAAGAGCTAAGAAAGCTTTAGGAAGCACTAGACAGAAACACCTTGGCTTGAATCTGTTGGACTAACTTTTACACAGTTTTCTATTTGTTTATATAATATGCTATTATTAAGAACTAGTTAGTTCTACATAAAAACTAGGTAGTTGGATCTTTCTATAATGAAGTGTTCTATACCTTAAAAGGTACATTGATTTCTGAAGGACAACTTACTCCGAAGTTATCAAAACGACAAGTCCGCCATCTATTGGTGAAATTAGTACACTGCAAGATAAATTCAAGACTAAATGTTAGCAATTTATCGACCTCTTCCTGGTTTTTGCTTTCAAAAAAACCGGGATTTCACTTGAGCCCCGGAGTTCGCGGTTACAGTGAGCTACGATCGCGCCACTGCACTCCAGCCTGGGCAACAGAGCAAGACTGTCTCTAAAAAAAGACAAAACAAAACAAAGATTCCTGGAGGGTCATCTCAAAAGATTAAATTGTTAGTAGTAGGATTCCAGGTATTTTGACTGGCAAATAGGAAAGGTATTTGGCAAAAAGATAAGTGTGGTTTTTTAGTGTCACTTTGTTTATATGATAAAAGGCAAATGATTATTCAGTTTATTTCTGAAAGCTCTCCAGGGTGAATGTTACTATACCAAATTTTAGAGGAATTTTATATTTGTGTAGAAGATACAGCAGTTTACATTTAATTTTTATCTTTTACTGATGGTACTAAATGTATCCGAATTATGATTTCTTTAAATAATTTTTAATGTATAGATTTGCTTCTAATCTGGGAGTTAATTTATACATTATTTTAAGAAACAGGCTGCGTTAGTAAATAAATTCATGTCTCCTGAATCCATAAAATTCATTAGCGGCACCTATGCAGTGTGCTCTTCGTAATCCACATCCTAGGACCATTATTCATCTGGTGCATGAAACTTTTCCATGGGGGCCAGTGGAGGGTTAAGCGTAGGATGATAACTCTGAAGCCATCTGAAGGACCTCAGCTGTGCCAACATGTTCCCAGCGATCCCTACCTGCCTTCTCACTATTCTTACACCCTGGATTTCTAGAATCTTTCTCTGCTCAGCCACCAGTAACCCAATCTCCAGGCCTCATTCTCCCTCCTCCATAAATACACATAAACTGTCAGAGTTAGACTAGCATGTGACCCTACGCCAGTCTGAGCAGACGCAAGATGATGGCATGACAATTCTTAGCTTAAAAAACACACATGTAGACCTCAGACTCCAGCTTGCCAGCCTTAGCTGGTTTCCTGTGAAGAAAGCATCACTTCATCAGGTTAGAAGGCTCTGTCTGCCCATCCCTGGAACCAAGACTAAGAGCATCCACTAAATAATTTTCATTCTAGGCTTCCATCCCAACGTTGGCTCTGATCTGAGCAGGTTGTGGAGGTTGGCTTGCCTCAGCTGACTTTCTCATCTTCACAGGCATGAGAATTAGAAGCTCCTTAGTAAATAGTGCAGGACAGTGTTGAATGGTGGTTATTTAACAAGGCCTCTTCCATCTTCACTAAATATGCTTTGTTCAGCCCATACATAGAGAGAGAGAAATAGGGTGCATTTTAAACAAATGGCTCTTTTCCCCAGGCTGTTTTTCACTGGCTTGGTATCTCTTGCTTCAGTTACTCAGGGGCTGAGGAGCTGTGACTTAGCCATCACATGGCTTTTCATCACTTCTCTAATCATTTTCTTAAATTAGATTTTGATGTTAACATTAGCAACAGAATTCAGGATGGTCCAACAGAAGAACCAGTGGGAGAGGTGAGGAACCTGGTTTCATGACTGAGGACGAACCGCTTATGAACTCTTTAAGGAGATTGTTCGTCTAAAGGTCTCTCTGCCTCAGTCTCCCCCCAGCCTCAGTTCACACCATCCACTGCTGTCAAAGGTCTGCGTGGAGCCCAGATCTGCCAATGCCATCGGACCGTGCTCAGAATAGTCTTTAGCTTCTCATTGCCTGCTCTCAACTCCTGTGAGCCATCCCAAGCTCTACTGTGTCTCGCCGGAACTGAACTGGAAGGTGCTCCTGGCTTTTTCTGCTCAGTGCTATCCCAGACACTGTGCACTTTTCCTTTACTGTATTTCCTCACCTTTCAAGGCTGATTCAAATGTCTGCCTCTTTCTCTCCTCTGAATTGCTGTAACTCATCTCCCATAGCATTCCATGGTGTCTTATGATAATTTCCTTATAGGTCTGATTTTCCTTTTAGTTGCTTGGAGCTTATACAGTTATTTTTATCTTTGTCTTTTTTTTTTTTTTTTTTTTTTTTTTTTTGAGATAGAGCTTCGCTTTTTTGCCCAGGCTGGAGTGCAGTGGCGCGATCTCAGCTCACCACAACCTCCGCCTCCCGGGTTCAAGAGATTCTCCTGCCTCAGCCTACCAAGTAGCTTGAATTACAGGCATGCACCACCATGCCCAGCTAATTTTGTATTTTTAGTAGAGACGGGGTTTCTCTATGTTGGTCAAGCTGGTCTCAAACTCCTGACCTCAGGTGATCCACCGACCCTGGCCTCCCAAAGTGCTGGGATTACAGGCGTGAACCACTGCATCCGGCCCACAGTTCTTTTTTCCTTCTGAACTCCCTAACCAAGCCTGATTCTTACTGGCAACTGAATTTTTTTTTTTTTTTTTTTTTGACAGAGTCTCGCTCTGTCACCCAGGCTGGAGTGCAATGGCGCTATCTCGGCTCACTGCAACCTCTGTCTCCCAGGTTCAAGTGATTTTCCTGCCCCGGCTTCCCAAGTAGCTGGGATTACAGGTGCCCGTCACCATGCCCAGCTAATTTTTGTATTTTTAGTAGAGATAGGCTTTTGCCATGTTGGCCAGGCTGGTCTCGAACTCCTGATCTCAGGTGATCCACTCACCTCGGCCTCCCAAAGTGCTGGGATTACAGGTGTGAACCATAGCCCCCAGCCTGAATATATGTTAATCTAATTAGCAAAACTATTTTTTTTTTCTAAGTGCAGAGGTTCTTGTAATTGTTGGAGCCTCTTACAGCACATGTGTCCATTTGGACACCTTGGAGGCAGTGAGAAAGGAAAACTAAGTGTTTCATCCTCTTTATTGGTTAATGTATGATATCTCATTCTCCTGCATCCTTGACACATTGATTCCCCGCCCCTTCACTTCCCCCCAAGTTACACTGTGGCAATAAGAGCTAAACTTCAGATGCATTGGAGAACCTCTCTGTGACTAGCATAAATTAAATGGCCGGGAGGTGCAAAACAGCCAAGAGGCAGATCGAGGGTGTCTCTTGCCTAGTGAACTCTGCAGCTCACTGAAGGTCGCTGGGAAGGAAGAGTGTGGAACCTGATCTGCGCTGTCCTTATATTTCTCTGCAGCAAAGTGGCCTGTCATGTAGGTTTAGGGGACAGGACAGCCTCTCATGGGCTTTGTCTTGCTTAATTGGATTGGCTGTTTTGAGGATCATGATGCATTCTTGAGATTTTGGCATCTGTATTGTAATGAGGGAGCACAGTTTCATCATCATAATTATGGCTGCCGTGTTTTGAGCTTTTACTATGAGCCTGGTACTGCAGCATGTGTGAAATAGACGATCTGCTTACCTGCATTTAAGGACTAGGAAATACATGTTTTGGACAAAGAGTCGGGGCACCTGAAATTAAGCTTAAACTCTGTCACTAATGTACCATAGAAGGTTATTCCATTCTGTCCTCAGCTATAAAATGTTTTCTGCTGTAGCTATCTCATGTGAGACTCAATTAAGTAAAAGGCAATGAAGGAAAGTATAAATTTTTATACCAAAGTTCTTTTCTTTTCTTTTTTTTTTTTTTTTCTTAAACAGAATCTCACTCTGTCACCTAAGAGGTTGGAGTGCAGTGGCGCAATCTCAGCTTACTGCAACTTCTGACTCCCGGGTTCAAGCGATTCTTCTGCCTCAGCCTTCCAAGTAGCTGGGATTACAGGTGTGAGCCCTCACGCCCAGCCAATTTTTGTATTTTTAGTAGAGATGAAGTTTCATCATGTTGGCCAGGCTGGTCTCAAACCCCTGACCTCAGGTGATCTGCCCACCTCGGCCTCCCAAAGTGCTGGGATTACAGGCATGAGCCACCACACCTGGCCTAGTTCTTTTCTTTTTTTCCTTTTTCTTTCTTTCTTTCTTTCTTTCTTTTTTTTTTTTTTTTTTTTTTTAATTTTAGAGACAAGGTCTCACTCTGTTGCCCAGGCTGGAGTCCAGTGGCATAGCCATAGCTCACTGCAACCTCAAACTCCTGGGCTCAAGTGATCCTCCTGCCTTGGCCTCCTGAGTAGCCAAGACTACAGGCATGTGTCACCACACAAGGCTAACTTTTTAATTTTTTGTAGAGATGGGATCTCACTTTGCTGCCCAGGCTAGTGTTGAACTCCTGGGCTCAAGTGATCCTCCAACCTCAGCCTCCCAAAGTGATTACAAGCATGAGCCACTGCAGCTGGCCTTCACAATTCTTTTATACCCATTCCTTCATTTATTAAATGTTTGCTGTACATCAGGTATCATACTGGACATTTAAAATGAAGAATTTAGATTCACAGTTCCTGTCCTTGAAGAGTTTCAGTCTAAAAAATGAGAAATACAAACTGACACTAACCAGTCAGTGTAGAAAGTGCTTCCCTAGACATAGAACAAGTTGCAATGGGGTCATAGAGAGGGTGCACTTACTTCAGCTTGAGAGTGGGAAAGGCAGTGGCAGGGAAGTCATTTTCCCCTACCAACAATCAGAGCCAATATTCACCAAGTGCTTAGCTGTCTGCTGTTAATTATGGTAAAGATTCCCATGAATCATTTAATCCCAACAGCCTTTCTATGTCAAGGTGTCTCCTCATATTCCCATGTCACAGAGGGGAAAACGGAGGCTTTCTGAGGTTAGGGTCCTTCCTCAGGTCACAGAGGCAGGGCTGTCAGTGAGGTCTGTCTGATACCTAAGTCAATGTACTTAGCCATTATACTGCTGCAGCTCTTCCCTTCTCCAAAATCCAGGAGCAACTTGAGTCTTGATAAATGCACACGAAGTGGTCAGGCCAACAAGGAAAGGCATTTCAGATAGAAGAAACTGCATGTGTAAAGCATGGGAGTGAAACTAGGCTGAGTTTGAGACTTACAATGTGTCTGGGAGAGTACGGAGAGAGGCCAGGGTCAGGGAGTGGAGAGTAAGCAGACTCCTGAACATGAAAGCTGTAATACAGTACTCTCTAAAGCTATGAACCTTGGCCTTTTAGAGTGCTCCTGGTTCTCCAAAAGAAATGAGATTAATCAGAAGACTCTAGTACATTTGTCCACACACATTGCTCAAAAAAAGGTGCTGGCAATAGCAAACACATGGAATCAACCTAGGTGCTTATCAATGCAGATTGGATAAAGAAAATGTGGTACATATACACTGTGGAATACTAAGCAGCCATAAAAAAGAATGAAATCCTGTCCTTTGCAACAATATGGGTGGAGCTTGAGGCCATAACCCTAAGCAAATTAATGCAGGAGCAGAAAACCAAATCCCACATGTTCTCACTTAAAAGTGGGAGCTAAACATTAAGCACACATGGACATAAATATAAGAGCAATAGACCCTGAGACCTTCCAGAGAGCAGGAGAGTGGATTTAAAACCTGCCTATCAAGTACTATGTTCACTACCGAGGCGATGAGATTTGTACAGCAAAGTTCAGCATCATGCAATATTCCCATGTAACAAATCTGCATGTACACCCGCTGTATCCAGAATAAACACTTACATTTTAGAAAATTAAATATAGAACAATTTTTTTTTTGAGATGGAGTCCAGGCTGGAGTGCAGTGGCGCCATCTCAGCTCGCTGCAACCTCTGTCTCCCAGGTTCAAGCGATTCTCCTGCTTCAGCCTCCCCAGTAGCTGGGATTACAGGCGCCCGCCACCATGCCCGGGTAATGTTTTTGTATTTTTAGTAGAGATAGGGTTTCACCTTGTTGGCCAGGCTAGTTTTGAACTCCTGACCTCAAGTGATCCACCCGTCTTGGCCTTCCAAAGTGCTAGGATTACAGGCGTGAGCCACCGCGCCCAGCAGAAACAATTTTTTAAAGGTGCTGGGATCCCTGAACAGAAGAGAATAAACAAGATTCTTGGTACCTTTTTCTCCTCGAGTGCCTTAAACTTTAATGTTTTAAAACTTAAAACATTAAAGCAGCCATCAGAACTAATTATGGCATAAAAGATCAATTGGAGCCAAACACACAATTTCCAAAATTGCAGGTATAGGAATAAAATAAAATACTGGATCACTGAAACATTCATTCTGGAAACAGAACGTTGACAGGTTTCTCTGTTAATGCACTTTTCTACTCTTCTGCCAAGCTAGAAGATGCCAAAGCCCCCGCCCTCGGTCCAGGGCTTTTCTTCACAGAGTATGCAGCACGCTATTGAGAGAGAAGCCTGGGCTCTGGAGGCACTCAGGGTGACTCAGAATCCACCTCTCCCATTTACCTTTGTTGTGACCTGGACCAAGGCAGGTCACCTAACTGCCATAAGCCCTCGTTTTCAAGTCCATAAATTGGGCTAACTGTAATGACTAACTCAGAGAGTGGCTGGGAGAGCAAAAGCACACATAATGCCCAGCACAGTGCCCAGCACATTGTAAGGGACCAATCAATGACAAACATCAGTATAATCATCAATCTATACAGCCTCAAGTACAAGTCAGATTCCCAAACCCCACAGAACACATTTTGACCATGCAATATTAGCTCCACACAGCAAGAGTCTTTAAAAAATGGTCCTATCTGCAAACTTGCATTGCAAGACACTCTTTTCTGTGAATAAGGAAAAGAGCAGTGTTATTGTCACACTCTGCCCCCCCGCCCCCAGCTATAATCAGTATGTTATATGCCGAGTTCAGTAGCTCAAAGATGTGCTGTCGATCTGCACTGCAGCTACTTTCTGTGGCTCCAGGAGTTCTATTTATGCCTGTCTCAGGCATAGTTCCTTCACTATATCTCAGGTTCAGCTCTTACAATCTTTTTAAGCCAACAGTGGGAGGGAAAGGCAGGAATCACTCATCAAGGACATAGAGAATGCCAACAAAGTAAAATTATGAAGCATTCTGTTAAAAAAAAAAATACTTGCAGCCAAGAGTTTAAGTTGAACTTATACTCTACAAGTGACTCCAGAAGTGAGTCAGTAGAGCTTGGTATATCCTGGTCAACATTCACTCAGCATCCTCAGTACCTACCATGTGCCTGGATGTCTGGAAAATCCAGAAATTATTGAGATAGCCATATCACCTTCCAGCAACTTTATCTGTAGAGGACTAATGGCATGCACACAAATTGTCTCAAGTCAAAATGGAAAGCGAAAGTAGAACCAACAAGTTGAAGTTCACAGAATTGATGAAGAAATGATGTCTGGCTGGAAAATCTGAAAAGGTGACATGAAGAAGCCAGCATTTGTGTTAAGCCTTGGTGGAAGGAAGAAGACAGTCTAGGAAAAGGGAACAGGGTGTGGGGGCAGAGAACTGGAACATCTAGAAGCACGGTTCAGTTTGGAAGCTTAATAAAGAACAAGGGCTACTTCTGAGTAGGCGTCCAAGGCAAACTCCAGGAGAGGCCTTTGCCACCAGTGGACAGGCTGGATTGGGATGGGGGAGGGGATGCTAAGGCAGAGAAACCACTGGGAGAATGATGTGCCTCAAGGATCAGAGGACTGGGGGGTGCCAGGGCTTCCATAAAAGATTGGTACTCATTCATGGAATTGGGTTCCTACCTCTGTTTTAGTTCTTTTGATGCACTGCCTGGAACTCTTGTGTTCATAAGAACATCAATATCCAAGGAAATACAGTAAGAGGAGGAAGGAAGAGCCTCTCTGAAGACTCTCCAAGGTCACAGTCCTCTGCAATTGGCCGATTAAAGAAAACAGGTCTCAATCAGTTAAATGACATATCACAAAATGAAGGAGACCATTTGTTTAACTGGCCGCATGTTTCATTGTTGAAGACAGCCATTTGTTTCATTCTTAAAAAATGGGTTTGATATGTTGGTGTGTTTCAAAGACTGAAATGACATGACTAAACAACCCCCCTAATATTACTTAGCCCCACCCTTTAAGGACTCTGAAGCACATCGTACACTGGCTATAGAGGGGAAGGCAGCCTGTAAAGTAATGTGGGAATCCACCGTGTTCAGAGCGCTGTGGGGATTTTATGGAAACTACTTAAACCTGATATTTTTATGTCTCTTAATTTTCTCTCTCTCTTTAATTGTGGTCCATAACATAACATACAATTTACCATTCTCACCATTTTTCAGTGGACAGCTCAGCGGCATTAAGTATGTTAAATGCAATCATCACTGCTATTCACCTCCATAGCTTTTCATCTTCCCAAACTGAAACTCTGTACCCATTAAACATTAACTCACTATTACCCACTCCCCACATCCTCTAGAAACCACTGTTTTATTTTCTATCTCCATGAATCTGCCTATTCTTGGATATTTCAAATAAGTGAAATCATATTTGTCCTTCTGTGACTGGCTTATTTCACTCAGCACAATATCTTCAAAGTTCATTCATGCAGTAGCACATATTACAACTTCCTTCCTTTTTAAGGCTAATATTTCATAGTAGGTATATACCATGTTTCCATTCATCCATTCATTGATGGATATTTTGGTTATCTCCACCTTTTAGCTATTGTGACTAATGCTGCTGTAAACATTGGTATACACTGTGAATCCATTGACCCCACCATTTTCTTTCTCCAATCTACCCTTATTCCTGTCTTGACTGTCTACTTTATGCAGAATAGATTCCACAACCTATCACACTCAATTCTTTGCCCAATTCTCCCTCTGCTGCATGAATGTGACAAAATTCCAGCCGTGGATAAACCCAGATATCTGACTTTTCTGTCTCAAGCATCTATTCACTGGAATGTTACTGAAGACAACCATTCATGATTACCTTTCTTAAATGGGCACTCAACACTGCCCAGAAGTCCTAACACAGTAAACTTAGTCTCACATTATCCATTGATTAAAATTTTATAATTTTACTTTAACTTTCAAACTTTCCACCTATATTCTAGTCATTTCCCCTAACTTTTAGGTACTCTTCTGTATTGCATGGATTCATTTATTTAAAAAAAAACTATTTATTCTAGTCATTTCCCCTAACTTTTAGGTACTCTTCTGTATTGCATGGATTCATTTATTTAAAAAAAAACTATTTATTAAGCACCTCCCAGGAGGTAGGTGCTATGCAGTCACTGGAAATACTGCGGTGAACAAAATTAAGTCCCGTCTCTCATTGAACTTCCTTTCTAGAATTTTAAGAGACAGACCATAAGCAAGTAAACATATACATCTATAACAATGATAGGTGATGTCAACTACAGAAAAGAAAACTAAAGCAGAGTAGAGCATCAATCAAAAGAGAGACTCTACACAAGGTATGCAGGGAAGACCTCTCCAATAAGACTATATCTGAGCAGAAACCTAAATGCAGGGAGGAAGCAAGCTATTTAAATGCCCTGCTCAAAATTGCTCATTACTTCTTCATGGCCCACTTCAGTCTATGTTCCGCATCTCTTATGAAATGTTCCAAAACTTTCCTTATGCTTTAACCAAGCTCAACGGTGCACTCTGATTTTTCTGTTCTGTATTTTCCCATACTACAGATGCTCCTCAACTTATGATGGAGCTATGTCCTGACGAACCCATAGAAAGTTGAAAATATTATAAGTTGAAAATGCATTTAGAAACATCTAACCTATTGAACACCATGCTTGGCTTAGCCTACCTTAAACATGCTCAGAACACTTACCTTACCCTATAGTTGGGCAAAATTATCTAGCACAAAGCCCATTTTATAAAACATGTTGAGTAGTTCATGTAATTTTTTTGAATAGTACACTGTAGAATACAAGATCAATTGTTTACCCTCACGATCATGTGACTGAACTGGGAGCTGCAGCTCAATCCCACTGCCCAGCCTCACAAGAAGGTATCATACTGCATATCACTAACCCAGAAAAATATCAAAAGTCAAAGTACGGTTTCTGCTGCAAGTAATCACTTTTGTACCATCATAAAGTTGAAAAATCATAATGAAGCCATCATAGTCGAGAACTGTCTGTAGTCTCTTTCTCTGGAATACCGTTCCTGTCCTTCAAGATCCAACTTCAACACCTGCTCTTTTCCTGATCCATTCAGTTCTGGGCTTCTGACTTTCTGAAATTTCCTCTTCTCTTGGCTTTCACAACATACCACTCTCCTGGTTTTCTTTCTTTCACTTTTTTCTTTTTTTTATCATTACCTTGCTAAACTTACTTATTTGTTCTAAGAAACTTTTTTATGTTGTTTGAGTTTTTCACTTAGACAATCATACCATCTGTGAATACAGTTTTCTTTCTTCTTGATATGCATGTGTTTTATTTATTGTTCTTGCCTTATTGCATTGGCTAGAACATGCAATATAGTGTCGAATTAGTGTGTGCAAGGTGGACATCTTTGTCTTTTCCCTGACTTCAGGAAAAAAGCATTCTGTGCCTTAGCATTAAATATGATATTCACTGGGAGTTTTTTCATAATAGCTGTTTATCAGGTTAATGAGGTTCCTTTCTATCTATAGAGAGGTTTTTTTTTGCTAAGTAGTTTTATACATATTATTTATTTTAATACTAATAACCCTATGAAGTAAGTACCACTATAATTTTCATTTTGTAAGCAAATGAACTTGCACACAGAAAATTTAAATAACTTTCCCCAAACCAGGTATATGTGCAGCCAGGATTTAAACCTAGGGAGGTTAATTCCAGAGCCTATGTTCTTTTTAAAAACATTTATTTTTATTTTTAAATTTATTTTTTTAATATATATTTATCTACATGTTGCATTGATGTATGTATACATTGTGGAATGGCTAAATAGAGCTATTTAACCTATAGATTACCTCATATACTTATCATTTTTTTGATGAGAATACCCAAAATCTACTTTCTTGGCAATTTTCAAGGATACAATACCTTGTTATTAACTACAGTCACCATGCCGTACAGTAGAGCTATTGAACTCATTCCTCTTGTCTAACTGAACTCCTGGTTTTCTTTCTACCTCTCAGGCAGTCCTGCTTCCTGTTTCTCCCCACACTGGCTCCCTAGAAAATCTCATCCACTCCATGGTTTAAAATATCCATGTGCAAGAAATCCAAAATGTATGGGTCCTGTCCAGATTCCTTTTCTGAGTGCAAGATCACTTTACTTTTTTTTTTTTTTTTTTAATTTTAGATGGAGTCTCACTCTGTCACCCAGGCTGGAGTGCAGTGGTGCAATCTCGGCTCACTGCAAGCTCCGCCTCCCGGGTTCACGCCATTCTCCTGCCTCAGCCTCCCGAGTAGCTGGGACTACAGGCGCCCGCCACCACGCCCGCCTAACTTTTTTTTTTTTTGTATTTTTTAGTAGAGACGGGGTTTCACCGTGTTAGCCAGGATGGTCTCGATCTCCTGACGTCGTGATCCGCCCGCCTCAGCCTCCCAAAGTGCTGGGATTACAGGCGTGAGCCACTGCGCCCAGCCCACTTTACATCTTTAATTGAATTTCCCCAAAACTTAAATCTCTACAGTTTAAGTCTTGAGTGGATTTTTTTTGTCTTTTTGTTTGTTTTCATTTATCATGAGTGTTGATTTTTGTCAAATGTCTTTTCCCTGTCTGTTGAGATAACCATATGGTTTTTTCCCTTTATCCTATTAACATGTTTTAACTGATTGATTTTTATATGTTAAAATAACCTTATATTCCTTGGATAAATCCCACTTGGTTATGGGATAGTACCTTTTATATGTTACTGGATTCAGTTTGTTAGTATTTTATTGAGGGTTTTTTTGCAGCTATATTCATAAGAGATATTGGTCTGTAATTTCTCCCTCCTCCCCAGCTTTACTGAGGTATAGTTGACAAATAACAATTGTACATATTCAAAGGGTACAATGTGATGATTTGATACACATATATATTGTAAAATCATGGCCTCAACCAAATGAACTAACACATTAATCACCACACATATCTACCATTTGTGTGTGTGTGTGTGTGGTGAGGACATACAGTTTGAGATTTTTTTTTTTTAAGATATATGGTCTTGCTGTGTTGCCCTGGCTGAAGTGCAGGAGTGCTATCACAGTTCAACACAACCTCAAACTCCTGGGCTCAAACAATTCTCCCACCTCAGCCTCCCAAGTAGTTGGGACTACAGGTATGCAGCAAAATGCCTGGCTAATTTTTTACTTTTATTTTTAATAGAGATGGGGTCTTGCTATGTTGCCAGGCTGGTGTCAACCTCCTGACTTCAAGCAATCTTCCCACCTCTGCTTGGCCATGAGTGTAGATCACTCATGAATGGCTTGGTGCCTTCAAAAATGAGTGCATTCTCACTCTAATAGTTCCCAAGAGAATGCCCCAAGTGCTGGTGGTTAAAAAGAGCCTGGAAGCTCTCTCCTCTCTCTCTCTCTTGCTTCCTGTCTCACCATGTGATCTCTGCACACATCAACTTCCTTATCAGAAGTAGATGTTGGCACAATGGTTCTTGAGCAGCCTGGAAAGCCAGGAGCCAAATAAACCTCTTGTCTTTATAAATTACCCAGCCTCAGGTATTCCTTTATAGCAACACAAATGGACTAAGACAGATGGTTTTTGACTATAACAGCTTAAAATCTTTCCTTTATTCAAACCTATCATCTCTTCCTTTAAAAAAAATCTTTGCATTAAAGCTTGGAAAGTCCTTCTGCATCTCAATGACCCATAGTGTTTACCTATATTTTCTTCTAGAATTTTTTGTTTCATCTAATTTTTTTTTTTTTTTTGAGATGTAGTCTTGCTCTGTCACTGAGGCTGGAGTGCAGTGGCATGATCTTAGCTCACTGCAATCTCCGCCTCCTGGGTTCAAGCAATTCTTCTGCCTCAGCCTCCCGAGTGGCTGGGATTACAGGCATGCAACACCATGCCTGGATAATTTTTTTATATTTTTAGTAGAGACGGGGTTTCACCACATTGGCCAGGTTGGTCTCTAACTCCTGACCTCAGGTGATCCACCCATCTCGGCCTCCCAAAGTGCTGGGATTATAAGTATGAACCACAGTGACTGGCCTCATCTATTTAATTTTAAAAATATATTAGAAATGTTTTTGATGTATGAAGGAAGATATGGTTAGCCAATTACTCCAGCATCATTTATTAAATAGTCTATTATTTCCTAAACAGACTGAAACTGATATTTTTTATCCTATACCAAAATATCAGATACAATAGAGTCTATATTTTTCTTTTCATTCTCTTTTGTGTAACTCTAGAATCTTATATGGTAAGTCCTCACCACTATTTTCCTTTTCCAAAATGCTTTTCTTTGCTTTCTTTTTTTTTTTTTTGAGACAGAGTCTCACTTTGTTGCCCAGGCTGGAGTGCAATGGCAGGATCTTGGCTCACTGCAACCTCCGCCTCCTGGGTTCAAGTAATTCTCCTTGCCTCAGTCTCCTGAGTAGCTGGGATTACAGGCACTTGCCGCCACACCCAGCTAATTTTTGTATTTTTAGTAGAGACAGGGTTTTACCATGTTGGCCAGGCTGGTCTCAAACTCCTGACATCTGGTGATCTGCCTGCCTTGGCCTCCCAAAGTGCTGGGATTACAGGTGTGAGCCACCGCACCCGGCCTCAAAATGTTTTTTATCAGTCTCAAGTGTTTGTTCTTCTAGATGAATTTTAGAAACATTTTTGCCAAGTTAAAAATATTTTGGTAGGTCTTTGATAGTATTGTACTACATTTATCATTTATTTCTTGTAGAATAAACATATTTGAATATTGATATCAATATTGATATTTAGAATTCACATTTTCACTTAACATCAAGAAGCAGGTTTCATAGTATAGCATTTTACCCACACAACAGGTGAATTCCGTCTCCTGGCCAGTATCAACTCAATGACCACAACCAAGGAGGATTTAGCAAGGGGATTTTATTACTTGTAACAAGTAAGAATAGTTCCCAAAGCAGTGTCTCCCCAAGCAGGGGTTGGGGCAGGTGTTATAAGCATAGGGTAATGAGTGATGATCTGATTGGATTTTGTAATGAGGTGATGCTAGGAGGAGTGATCTGATTGGTTCCTGCCATGAGGTGACACCAGAGCTCAATCTGATTGGATCCTGGATCCTGCCATATGGTGTCTGCTTCTTAATTCAGTCCCTGCTTCTCCGTCTAAGCCCTTAGGTTCCACCAGTGGCTGCATACTTGGTTCATCTGGGCATGCTCAGGTAATATGACCTTCAACCTGGGGGTCCATGGCAACTGAAAAACAACTCACAATATTGCTACGTAAAAGTTGAACCAGATTGGTGTGATGCAGTTACAACACAAAGAAGAAGACCGACATGAATACTTGACTCCTGTAGCTTCTGGTATCCTCATCCTCCCAGATCCTGACATTAGGCTGAACATCTGTGCTGGATTTAGAGGTGGTGTATTCTCACCTTTTAAGTAATGGATATTTTAGTGAAAAGGTGGTATCAGGGCCTGCTGTCTAGATGCCATTTTTAGGAAGAAGTGTCAGAAAGTTTTTAAGACTGCAAGGAAAGAGAACACTCTCAGGGGGTTGATACCAACAGGGGTGGAAGTCAAAATGAGGACAAAGTGAGGCCCTGAGCGTCAGAGATCAAGGCCAAGAGGGCATAGCAGAGGGAATCCAGTTCCAGACAGGCTTGCAGGTATGGATATTCTATTATTTCCTGGGAGGAAACACTGGGAGGATTCCCCAGGAGACTGGGGATGTGGTTCTGGAAGGCCAGAGTGATAGTGCATGGGAAAGGCAGGTCTCACTGGAATCCATGAGTTATTATGTCAATAAAGGACTCATCTCCACAACTGGGGGGAGGTCAGCACTATAGTAATATAGGAGGAAAAAAGTTTAAAAAATTAAATTAAAAAAAAAAAAACTGGGGGCAATGCCAGTGCCCAGGGATGGACAGCAGCCAGGAAAGGTGTAGGGAAACTCCAGGCATCCCCAGGACCAGGTCTCGGAGACTTGGATTTGGTCCTAAGTGCTACCGAAGCCCAAAGTGCTCACCCTATAGGTAACCAGAATCAATGCAGACCAAGGAACATGTAGCATTTTAACTCAAGCCAAGTGACTGCTCTGTGGCTGCAAATCACATTAGTGGATGGTGGGGAGCTACTTGTAGGGCTTCTGCCTTTGAATCCATGGTAATATGGAAGCAGAGACTTAGGAGTTTTCAGCACAGAGGTCTACTATCTGCAGAGTAAACACTAATAACACTTCTGAGAGAAATGTAAAATCTTTGTTATTTGTTTAAACTCAAGCATCCTGTGGCTGGATTTACGATATATGAAGAGGCTCTTGCTCACATTGTAATGAGTCTTACAAAGTGCCTGGGATCAAAATATAGGTGATCTGTAATTACCCAAAGTATCATTTTCCCTACTGTGAGCCACAGATGACAGGATGGAGGTAATAAAGTTCCAAGGATTGCATTTTCCCTCTGGACACTGTGGAAATGTCTCATCATGCATTCTGTGAGACCAGGACAAAGGCCTCAAAAAGAATTTTTTTTTTTTAAACAACTCTTTTTTTTCTGATTATAAAAGTTATATATGCCTATTGTAAGAAGACATGGAACTGTAGAGAAGAAAATAAATATTACAGTTTTAACAATTTTTTACTCTAAAATAATAACAGTTCATTCTGGTAGGTTTTAAAAAAATGCACAAACATTATAATCAGAGACATATACATCGCTGGGTCTATCCATCTATCATCTCTATCTATCTAATCTATCATCTATCTATCTGATCTATCATCTATCAACTATCTATCTATCATCTCTATCTAATCTATCATCTATCTGTGTGAGACATTTTCACTTAACATCATATCAAAAGTATTTTTTTAAAAGCGTCAGGGGGCTACTTAGAACTTGAATTCTACAGCGTTGAATTGAATTACATAGGGTCTCCTACAGATACTTGGATAATACTAAACTAATTTCACCACTGTGACCATGGAAAGTGGTAATAAACCCAGATATGTCACTGGCATGCCAAGAAAGTGGCCCCCAGAAATGAATGATGGATAGCCATTGTCTCAGTGCATCTGGAAATAATCTTCTGAGCCTAAAAATAATGGGTCACATTAGCTAAGGCAGAACAGTTATTTGGCTAAATTAAGCTTCAGCTACTATCAAGAGACTCATTCCAAAATGGGATTTTTTTAAGTAATAATAATAGTACCTTATTAATTATTTATAAAGTAATTATATTTGAGCCCCTGCTGTTGCCATTCATCCAAATGATATCAAAACTGAGGGTGAGGGAAGAAGGAGGGGACAGATATCATATTCACATTTTTCCATCAAAGGTAGTATTTTTCCTAGGCTGAAAATACTGAGGGTGGTTCTCAGCAAAGGATGTAACCCAGGATTTTTATATGTTTACATGGATGTGTTTCGTACAGATGGTGTTCCATTGCATGTACTCTGCCATATTTTCTGACATTTTATGGGGCAAAGTAAATGGGATGAAGGCAAGAAAACCTCAGTGCCTCTAATCACAGGACTATATTAGTTAGGACTTCCATGACTGCAGACAGCCAGTGATGTGTGCTATAGGTGAAACTGCTGTTTACTTCTTCTCAGAAGAGACTCAGGACAAAGAAAACATACGATGCCCAAACAAGCCCACTAAATGAAGATTTCATCAGCCCTCTTGTCTAAAGACCCCAGTATTAAAACTCTGGAACACATAAATACCGCACTGAGGCACAAACCAACAAAAGACCAGGCAGCCAGCTTTCTGTGACACAGAAATAAGGCCCTGGAGTCAGAAGTTGGTTTCAGTGTCACACAAATACAAACATCTAATAAAAACTAAGTGAGTGATCATGATGGATTCCTTTGGATGCTTTTAAATTTACTGGCTGTGGGGGATTGGGGATGAGTGAAGCGGTGGCTTGGGGTTGGTTTAAAAGCCTCACATCTAGTGTAGAAAATTCAAGTTAAATCTTGCTGCCCAAGGAGATCACTATTAACATATCGGCATATTTCCTTCCAGACCCGTCAATGCATATGTATATGTTTATATAAAATTTTGTCTACACTGGTTTCATGCTCTGTGTAATATTATATCTTGCTTTTAAATCTGATGTTATACTTTAAAATCATATTTTCAAGTAATTAAACATCCCATGACTCATTTGAAAGGCTGTTTAATACTCTTTCATATGAATCATAGTGTATTTAATGTGTCTCATCATGTCGACTGTGCAGATAGATTCCAGGTTTCTTATTAATATAAATTATATGGCCACAAATATCCCTATACACAAATGTTTGTCCCACATTGTACTATTACTTTAAGATATATCCCTAGACCTTATTTTTTTTTAGTGTCTATGAACAATTTTTAAGCTTATACTCCCTCCAGCACAGTACAAAGGCTTCTAGTTCCCCCCCATCCTCACTAATGTTGAGCATAATGAATATTTACATCTTCGTTATATGATAGCATATATTATTGCTGCTTTAACCTATTTATTGAACAGTTCATCTGATTACTAGTGAGCTAAATAATTTTTTTTTAAATTTCTTGGCCATTGTAGTTTCCTTTTGGAAATTGAGTTTGTGTGTCCTTTCTCTTCTTCTCTTTTGGATTTTTAGTTTAAATTCTATCAATTTCTAATCAAATGTTTCTCCATCATATTTATGATGAAAAACTAACTTTTAAATGGGTGAGTATTTTCCCCTTTTTCATTTATTTTACTGCTTTCACATACAGAAGAATTGCGTCATGCTGAGATAAGATACATCTCTGCGGTTACTTACCTCTCTCTCTTTACCTCTTACACACACACACACACACACACACACACACACACACACAGTGAATCTAATGTTATTTTGTATTACTTTTGCTTTGCTGTTTAACATCTAGAAGTTGCTATTTTCAAATGAGCTGACTCAGTTTCCCACCCTGAAGAAAGCTGTTAGAAATATCTTCCTCTCTCTTATTTCTGTACTTAGTGGAATCATTCACACCCCCCTCCCCTGCCTGTGTGTGCGCATGCACACTTCTAGATTCCTCCCTGCTGGTAGCTTCCAGCAGCCAGCAGATATAGTAATTGTATTAAACCATCTGGGGACAATTTAATACAATGCAGGATTCAGCCATCTCTTCTTTTGTGTGCTTGGTTGAAGATCTGATAGAAGAGATCATTTTTATTCTGGAGAACTAAGAGATTAAGGAAATTTCAATTATTCTAAATTTACAACTAGTCTTCCAAGAGAATTTCCCCCAACCCCTCCCCCGCCACCAAAAAAATCCAGATTTAAGTTTCAAGAATGTTTATGTATTGAAATCCTGTCTTAACTAGTACACTACTGTGTGATCTTTCACGAGGAACCATGTCACCCCTTTAAGCTTTGGTTTCCTCATTTATAAATCTCAACAATAATTCCTACTTTACTTTACTGCCATGATGTTGAAATGAGATAATATTTCCAATGCAGCACCTCAATAAATAGTTGCTCGATAATGTGTATTGAGTTTTAATCTAAGGGAGAGTAAATAAAAGTAATGGCAACTACAAAACTTTAAATTCTAGCCTGGCAAAATTAAAGGTCTTTATTTTTTAGCATATTTTAAGATCATTCCCTAGAGTGTAATTTATTGCCAGTGACTGGCACAAGAACTGGGGAGACTGGAATGGAATGTTTGCCAAATGATTTGACAACTTTTGAAGAAGAAAATTCTTAGAACAATAAAGTCCAGTCAAAAATCAGAATACAAGCAGGAAACCTGGTCTCCTCCCTCCTAGGTTTGGGGTCACTTGCCACAGAAAAATAATAAAGACTAGGATTTATCAAAGGCCAACCCTACACTTGACCCTGTGCTAAGCAGGCAGGATCTCTTTTCATCCTCCCACTAGTCTGTGTGAAGCCAGTACTCTTAGAAACACTCTATCACAGAGGAAAAGAAAGTCTTGCCCAAATCACACAACTAGTAACTGATAAGTGTGGGGGTTCTTTCACCCCAGTCTGATGCTGGTGCTCCTGCTTTTAGCACACAAATTCAGCTGTGCAAGCTGGAGGAGTGTATGGGCCATGTAAGAACTTGTGATCAGACATGAGCACCCCTTCCGAACTTGCCTGGCCTCCCATGAGGTGCTCCTCAGTGGGATTGTTTCCAACGTGTTCGGGAAAGAATTGCTGCTTCCCAAATACCTTCTCCATTTCCTCTTAGGATTCAGAATGCTTTATATTCTAGACTCCAAGCTTTTTTCATTTCAAACTCAGATATGTCTTAAAATGTCACTGTCCCGGTGGAGTTCCTATTTCAAGGCACGTTCCCATTAAAGTCTAAGTGATGGATATCAGATCCTTTCTTAAGGAAAGGTTTGGCTGTGTAAGAGGAAGAGGATGTGGGGAAGTAAGAACCAGGATCAGAGAGGCCAGAGAATTCAAAAAATAAAAAATGTTGAGAATTTCACAAGCTTGCTCTGAAGTGCCCTGATAAAAATGTATAATTTTTTAGATGCATTGGAACCAAATTGGCAATTTGCTGCATAAGAATTAATAGGAAAGAGAAAACCTACTTCTACCTTATTTGAATGCTTTTTATTTTCCCTCTTAATTAAGGGTTAGAGTATACAAAATCCTTCATTAAAATCTTTTGTTTCTTGAAATTGGCATTTTTACTAAAAAATGGAAGTATATAGAAAAAAGAATTTTGTTATTTGAATATTCCCTCCTCTTTTGTGTGCTACCCCTGGTGTCACATAATTTTTATCCCGTAACATTTTCTCTGGAAACTTTCACGATGGAGTACATTGAGCCCCTCATTCTATGTTTAAAAACACAAAATCATCAAATGGCTTTTATATTTAACCACATCTCTAGCCAAAAGCAAATCTGAACAACCTTACTGGCTGTATTATACATTAAACTTGGTTTATATGTTTTCCTCCTCCCATAATCTTACCTAGGCAATAGAAATGAATTATGATTAGGCATTATTAGAATTAGGGTAAAATTTAAGATATCTTTCCGGAGCAAATACGTTGTTTTAGCCAGAGGGAAGATATTACAAGACCCAACGGGACTGGAGGAAGTGATGAGCATGGCTAAACATCTATGAATTATTGGCATGGTGGCTTTATGCTGATCATTTTAATAGAAAAGAAAAACTAAGCAGTGGTCAGGGAACCCATATTTCTTAAATTATGCACATGCCTTTCCTAGTCCCTTTTGGATTTCATAAAGCTGGATGGCTGACAGAAGCTTAGCATTATTGCCTATAAAACTCTGACTCGTTTCAAAAATATAAAAGCACACTGAGGACTAGGCAAATTGCTGCGGAAAAAGTCTGCATTAAAATTCAGGACTCGAAACCCAAATGCCATTTTCCTGGCCTGCCCACTGCAGCTGCCTTGCACAGCCCCCACTTTCCACATCTCCTAGGCGCAGCAATTGCATTTGTTCTGACAAGGAGGCCTCTTAGCTTAGCTCACCTCCTTAACACTGACAAGTGACGACCTGCAGCCAGCTCATTTATGAAGAGAGCTTTTAGATGGATTAAAATGTCACACACTCGGACAGTTTAAATTGAAAGCTAGGGGTGTTTTCCTGAGTGTGAAGCTCCCTACTGCTTAATGAGCCCCCACTCCTCCACTCCACGGGGCAATGGCAAGAGGGGAGACAAAATGACTGAAGGGTCATAAACAATACATCTCAGCATATTCTATGAGCAATACATCTCAGCTGCTGTCTGAGCGGCACACAGACCTACCCTAAGAACTGCTCTGTGTCTGTCTTCCAGCCAGACTGCACATTAGGCAGGACGCTGTCTCCCACATCCTCTTGCCTTCCTGCCTCTCGGCCTACCTGCTACCCCACACTGCCCCCATGTGCCAAGTGGATCGCAAAAGATGGCACTGTGGCAATATTTTTCACTACCCACTTCTCCATGCAACTCTTTCCTTCCTCGAGGCATTTCCAGATGATTAACTTACTAACCTGTAATACTAAAAGAATTCACACTGAAATATCAATGCATTAGGGCATCAATCCTCCCAAAGGGGTGTAGGGGTGTGTGTGTGTGTGTGTGTGTGTGTGTGTGTGTGTGTGTGTGTGTGTGTAGGTAGGTAATAAGAGAGTATCCCAGGCCATAATAGGAAACAGAAGCATTGAACAGAAGCGAAGGCACAGCACGGAGAACTAGGAGCCTTGCATTCTAAGCTTGAACAAGCCCCTTAGCATCTCCAGGTCTCAGTTTCCCACTTGGGAAATGAGACAGCTGAACCAGTCCACAGGTGGGGTCTTCAGGCATATTTCAGGCTAATGAGAGGAGTCATAGAAGCAAGGGGTCCTTCCTGTGTACAGTACCTTTGTCATGACGATGTAGCATTGGTAAATGACATGCATGGCTGCTTCTGACACGGACACTGTATATATTCTGGTGGGGTCCGATTTGCAGCTTGACTGTGTTTTCCTCAAATAGCACATCTGTTAATCAGAACTGCAGCAGGAGAAAGACACCGACGTGCCTCGGACTTGTGCCAGGGAAAGTCCACAGAGAGACCTGAGGTTGGTTGGGCCATTAACAGGTTACAGCCCAAATTCCTCTTCTCCCCTGCCAGAGACATTATCTCATCGGCAGAGTTCGCCAGAGGCTGAAGTTATATCTCATTAAGAGTCTCCTAAGCACTGAGACTCTGCACTGTCACTGACACCTATTTAGTTTATAGTTCTGCTATGTCATTAGGCAACCTTTTCCTAGGGACACAGGAAAGAAGAGGCTACAATTAATTCAAGGCGGAAAGGAACAAAAAGAATGATAGAACCACAGACTGTCCACGTTGGTGTCAGAAAAGGAAAGATCCAAACTTCTATTCTAAAAGAGACCCTAAAAGTATGGGTTGTAAAGGGAATTCCTGGTGCATGTGAGAATGAATGGATGAATGAATGACCCTTTCTTGGCCGGGCATAGAATGAAGGGGGCAATTCAAAGCATTAGAAGACAAGAGGGAATCTTGGAACCTGGTACCCCACCCTAAGAAAAATAAAACAAGTTGAAGAATTAGCGAGAATGTGAATCTGGATAGATATCTTCAAATAAATCCTTGGTGGTCCCTGGGGGTAAATATTTAAGCAAGCTGGGCTAGAAAGTGGCATAATTTAGAAGGAAGCAAGTGGCCCTTATTTATATATAACATTTTTAATTATCTGGCTGACTGATAAGACTTTCAGCCGACAACTAAATAACGAGAAACAGCTACACGTCTCCAGGGCCTTTCTTCTGGAAAAACTTTTCTGGTCCCCTCTTCCCTGAACTGGTGCAGGCGTGCAAAGAAAGCTCCGTGCCACGCCCGGCAGCCTCCATTCTTTGGTAGAACGCAGCGCAGCAATAGCCGCCAAGTCCCCTCCTGGGTACAGTACAGCTCCACAGCGCCCCTGCTGGTGGCTTGGGAAGGGCGCGCAAGCAGAGAAAGCAAGTGTCAGAGCCGGGACTGGCCTCCCAGGGCATCGCCTACAGCTTGTGCTCTGAGAGTCGGGGTCATCATAGCTGCGCTCTTCGATGGACACTAAATGCGGGACATCTGTTTTACACTCACCCTCCCTCCCCGCGTGGCAGGAGACCTACACTCTCCCGCTATGCGCGCTCCGCGGCAGCTGCCGCTGCACCATTCATTCTCTCCTGCAGAAGTTCAATATTGCTGCAAATATCGAGAAAAAAAAAAAAAGCGCTGAGAGGGGGAGGGAGGGAGGGAGGAAGGGAGGGACAGCGAGCCAGCGGCCACTGCAAAGGGGCGAAGGGCAGTCCCGCGGTCAGTAAGGGCCACTGAACTTTCTGCCCACCGGTCATCCGGAGCTGAGGACTGGGACATGGTGGGGTGCGTCGGCGAGGGTCCCCTGACCCTGCACAAACCCAGGGGTGTGGTGTGGATGACCCGGGAAGCCGCACCCAGAGCTGGCGGTATGTCAGGCCATAGAGAAAAAGGGATGTTCCTAGGCTAAAGGAGACATCGGGGCTGGGGATGACATCCCAAAACTCCCAGCGCCGGGGAGCTCAGGCTCGGGCGGTGCCTGGCTCCCCTCCCCGGTTCCCGCCGCAGGAGGCTGCTGAGTCACTCCCGCCTGAGCCACGGCCGCCCCCAGCCAGCCACGCGATTGGCGGGTTAGCCCGGGCGCAGCGCCCTCTTCCCAGCTCCCGCACCCCCAGGGCTTCCCGCAGGCAGAGGGTGGGAGCCCCGGCGAGCGACCAGTTGGGGCTTGGTAGGAACCCCCTAAAAATGCGCCCCACTTGTGCATTCGTGCATGGGCGCATTTTGGGAGTAAACAATACATAACCTTCTTCGCATTCAAAGGGTCTGGACTCAAAAGAGGGCTCAGCCTTGCTCCTCGGGAGCAACCCCTGTTTTAAATCTGGGAAATGGTGATGCCAGTGGGGAAAGGGCTTCTCCGGGCCCGGGGCTCCCGAGCTCCTGGTGCCAGCCGTGTTGCTCTGGCTTTTGTATTTTAACTCCGTGGGCTTCTGTCCCCATCCCCATGTAAGGCCAGTGCCCCCTTCCGCGTTTTGCCGAAAGTATCTTCAATGCCCGTTTAAAAAACTATGTCTGCGATTTCTCCATCTCTGCTCTTTCCCAGTTCCTCTCTTTTCTCTTCTTCAGGCCCCCTCCTGTCCTTCCTCATCCTTTCACTGAGCGGGTTCAGGCCCTAGTTACTACCGCAGGCACCAGCCACACCCGGGGAGATGTGTGCTGTTTTGTGCAAGACGCTGCGGTCACCCAGTCCGGAATTCTGCTGGTCTACACCGAGTGCCGCAACACCACCACCACCTCCGCACACATACGCCCTCCTTGAACCTCTTCCCCATGAATGCTTTGGCTTTTAAGGAACTTTGTGGCGTTTCTGCTCTTTCGGAGGCAGCTGCCCGAGGCAGCTTCCCAAGGCAGAACAGGGACTGACTGCTGAGGTTCCGCGGGGTCGGGGAGGTGGAGAAGCCAGTTCCCAAGTGGCTCGTCGCGGGTGTTAGAGTCCCTCGTTACTAAGGACGCCGCCGCCCGCGCGCCAGGCTTGGGGACCAGGGTGACTCTGCCCTTTCTGGGCGGAATACGGGTGAAGGCTGTCTTTGGGGATCCACAGGTGATCTGTGCCGTTCTCATTGTATTCTCAACTCTCATCCCTTCCAGGTTAGCCCGATCCCTTTAATGCAAGGATCGGTGCCGGGAGGAAAGAGAGCGTGGGCCACTCTGGAACGGAGGCTGGTGTTTTGGGGGAGCGGGGAGAGCCTGTAGCCCACACATCTCCACGGCTCTGGCCCAATTTCTCCACTTTTTCACTTCGATCTAATTGGTCTTCAAGGTTCCCGAGGCTGCGCACCAGTTTTTGATGTCGATTGAACAGGGCTCCAGATTAATCACTTGTCCTCACAGCCCTTTGGAATAAGATTCACTCTCTAGCTGTTTAAAGCTTTTCTTTCGGTTCTAGGAAACAGCTTATTTTTCCGCTTTTCCTATCAGACTTTGACACTGGACTGTAAAGTTTTCCCATGGGTTTTTGCATATCCCTTCGACAGGCTGTATTATTTACAGAATTGGGTAGGGGAAGGCTACTCTGTCAGCTGTGGTTGGTTGCCTTATCTTTGTTCTTGAGAGAATAGCTTGGACTTTTCCACCACACATGAAGATTTTATTTGAAAGCAGAGATACTTGCCCCTGCCAGCTACCATCAGATAAAATTAAATAGAAGGCCATACTTGTATCTCTGGGGTGCATGCTTAGTACTGCAATCATGTAAGTAATGGACATTTGACCATCTTTCCCTTTTAACTCTCACAACTCTGGCAAAACAAGAATAATTTTCTTCATTTTTACAGTGTTAAGATCTGGATTTGAACCCAATCCTATTTTCAAGGCTCTTCTACTATCTCATAAAAGAGTATGGGCATGGAGGCTGAAGAAGCCAAGATTGTTTGGATTATTTTGAATTCCAAGGTTAGGAAATCAAAATTTTTTAGGGTAGATGCAGTTGCAGTTAGAAAGGAGAATAGCACAGAATTTGAAAGCACAGACAGAAATCTTACAGTCTGGGTCAGACCCTGACTCTGCAGCTTACCATCTACTAGAAATTACTTAACCTTCCAAACTTTATTGTTTTATTCTAAAAATGGGGCATAGCAATAACACCCACCTCACAGTTTCACTGAGGGGCTTAAATTAGATGCATCTGCAATGCTTAGCACAGGGGTGGACAGAGGTGCTTAATCAATGATAGATGATGTTCTTATAAATACTAAGATCAAAGAAGAGGAAAATTTGGCTTCTTAAACCAACAACACTTCTATTTCCATTCTTGGCTTCTTCTCCTGTATCCAGACAGGCTGATTTCAGTTTAGGAAAAAGCATACCATGTACTATTTCCCATCCTAACATTTTTATGCAAGTAAAATCAGTTTAAACAAAGAACAGACTTAAAAGAGTAAGTCACAAAACTTGTAGCCTTATAAACTGTGCATGTCGGGGCTTATCCTTTTTGGTGAGGTCATTTGATGTTTGGGAAAGAGTTCTGAAGTCACACAGACCTACCCAGCTTTAGGACTTCACCATGGACTGCTGCGAGCTAGTATAAATTATTTAATCTCTCAAAGCCTCGGGGTTTTTATTTATTCAAGACAAAGATTAATAATATCATCTTTCCAAAGTCACAGTAAGAATTAAGCCATATTATGTATGTAAAAGTGCTTAGCAGAATTCTTGGCACATCACTGTTCCTGAATAAATGAAACTTTATTTTCCTTCTTTCCTTGGTCATGATGAGAATTGACTGGGTTATCTATTGATTATTTTGTGCATGAGCCTGTGATCAATCATTCTTCTTCCACAGATAGAAATGTGCACGCATATTAAGGTTAACAAGATTTGTGGTTGTGAAGTATAATTCTAAAGCCTCACAAGCATGAAGGGTGTGTGGACGTTTTCCTGAGTCATCCTAGGGAACAAAAGGGAGTGGGCAGAGCTAGTTACCAGAGTTGGAAAGGGATGCATCAGTCATTACATTCAGGGGCTGTTAGTTGGTTCCTTTTGCAAATGGGCTGTGAACTGCAGATGTCCCTGGGAGAGAAAATAGAAAATTACTAGCAAATTCCTAAGAGAACCTGGCCTCTTTAAAGAAGAGAAGACACATTGAGCTGGGAGTTGGAGGAGAAATGAGAAATTGAGCCACAGACTCTGAAAGATATCATCTGCCAAGAGGGAGATGAGGCTTTAAAAAGAACTTTAAGGATTTGTACATCTAGTCATGATGCAGTAACTGGTACTGGACTAGTTTTTTAGCTTTAAACAACTAGAAAGCCAGGAGAAAATATTTGAGGCTGGCAGTGGACAACAGACAGCCAGAGATGGTTATTTCTGAGAGAGAAAAACTTACAAGGTGAACCCCCAAATCATCCAGCTCTCTGCTGGAAGAGATTTTTCTAACTGTAGCACAGAGAGCTGAGGTCCAAGCAGGGCTCAAGAGTTGGGCCGAACAGAGAGAGAACAGAGTTTAGCAAAGCTGAAATAGTTGAATCTGCAGGGTGGAGCATCAACAAGGAGGTAGCTTTATAGAGAATACTACCCTAATCCCATATGAGGACCCCTTGTGAGGTCATGACTGCGGACTGGGCTGTAGATGAGCAGGAGACCACCTGGGACTCACAGGTTAGCAAATATTTGTGGGGGAAAAGATACTAGCAATGCTGGGGGAAGAGTTGTGCCCAAAGACTTTGGAATTCTGACCTGGAAAGAATAGAGATTTCAAAAACACTTTATTAACACTCCTGAAATCCAGCTAAGACACCAGAACTGCTTTTGTTTAGCAATAAGGGCTAACCTCTACAGCGGGGATGAGCAAACCTTTTTGTAAAGGGCAATATGTTCAATAATTTTCACTGTGCAGACTATATGGTCTGTACTGCAGCTACTCAACTCTGCTGTTGTAACAGAAAATCAGTCATAAAAAAATACTCAAATTAATAGCATGTCTGTGTTCCAAGACTCATTTCCAATATTTTCAAAAATAGAGAGTAGGCAGGATTGGTCTGAGGGTCAAAACATGCTCGTTCTAGAGTAAGACCTATTCCAGAATTGCAGTAACACAGCCTAAAACGGAGCCTTGACAAATAATTGGGGGGTGGGGAGTACAGAATTTGAAGGCCAAGTCCCATCAAGGTAGAGGAACTTGGGAAATGACTTGATTAAGGTGATCAGCCAGTAATTGAACTGCTTGCTAAACAATAATTAGCACTCTTCAGAGGAAGATAACAGAATTTAGAATTTCTTCAACATACTATTCAAAATCTAGTATTCAATTAAAAAAATCACTAGACAAACAAGAAAGTAAGAAAATATGCTCTGTAGTCAAGAAAGATAGCAGTCAATAATAACCAACCTGATGGCTCAGAGATTGAACTGAGCAGAAAAATATTTTATATCAGCTTTGATAAATATATCAAAAAATTGAATAAAAATGTGTTCAAAGAATGAAAGAAGCTGGTACAGTTGTGCATGCCAGTGCATCCTAGCTAGCCAAGAGGCTGAGACAGAAAGATCTTTTGAGCCCAGGAGTTCAAGACCAGCCTGGGAAACATAGTGAGACCCCATTACTTAAAATTAAAAAAAAAAATTTAATGTAAGAAAAAGCAAGGTCTGAAAATGAAGAAATAGGAAATCTTAGCAGAGAAATGAAAACTGTAATGAAAATAACTATCTCAAAATTCTGGAACTGAAAAGTACATTAACTAAAATGAAAAATCTAACAGCTTATTAGAGATGGCAAGAAAAAAGAATCAGTGAACTTGAAGATGGATTAGCTGAAACTATTCAACCTGAAGAAACAAGAGAAAAGAGACTGAAAAAAAATAAATGCAAACTCAAGGAACCGTGGAACAACACAAATAGTCTAACATACATAATTATAATTAGAAACTTCAGAAAGAAAAGAGAGTCAGATTAGGCAATTTTGAAAAAAAATCCCAAAACTGATTATATTACAGATCCAAGAAGTTTGACAAATACAAAACAGGATAAACATTTTTTAAACTACTCGTAGGCATATTACAGCCAAATTGCGGAAAAATCGAAGATGAAAAAAAAAGTCTTATAGCAGCCAGAGAAGACACACTGCATACGTCGAACCAAGGATAACAATGATCACTGATTTCTTATGAGAAAGTGTCCGGAAGACAACAGAAAGACATCTTTTCAAGTTGGACCCAGTGGCATGTGCCTGGAGTCCCAGCTAGTTGGGAGGCTGAGGCAAGAGGGTCACTTGAGCCTAGAAGGTTGAGGCTGCAGTGAGCTATGATCAAGCCACTGCACTTCAGCCAGGGCAGCAGAGTAAGACACTTTGTCAAAAACAAAAGAAGGAAGGAAGGGAGGGAGGGAGGGAGGGCAGGAGGGAAGGAGGGAGGAAAAGAAAGAAGAAAGAAAGACATCTTTTCAATGCTGAAAAAAAAAGTAAAGTCATAATTATGTGTCCAATGAAAAGATCCTTGGGGGAAAAAAGAGATCAATAAAGACATGTTCTGATAGATGAAATCTGAGACAATTTGTTACTAGCAGACCTGCACTATAAGAAATGGTGAAGATCCAAGGACTAAGGTAAAATGGTACCAGATGGAAGATCTATAGGAGGAACAAAGAAGCTGGAAATGGTAAATAAATGGACAAATATAAAAGAGAACCCAGGTCCAGACATTCTTAGAGAAGCCTCCCTGAAGGTAATTGTTCTTATGCCCTGGCTGGTACAACTGCTGCAGATGGGACGCTAGCCTGTACTGAGTACTTCCTGCGTGATAGGTAGCAGGCTAGACACTATCTATCTAAAAGCTGATTTAATGTACACATCAACACTGTGGTAGAAATTACTATTTCCTACAGCTATGGTCCATAGTTGAAGAATTTGGAAGCAGGTCCTGGTAGGATATTGCTTGAGTCCTTTGGTCCCAGTCCAAGTCAGTTTCATATCTACTCAAGACAGAGAAATTTTAGCACAATCTGATGGCTTCTAGAGTCATCTCAGTATAACCTAGCAAAGGATCTAGAAACTGTGATGGACTATTCATTCCTTAAGCACTTACTATGTGCTAGACATTGCAGTATACACGATTTTATTTTAATGTAGACTTTGTGCACATTGTTTCTTGTTTTTTTGTTTTGTTTTGTTTTTGATTTTGTTTTTGTTTTTGAGACAGAATCTTGCTCTGTTGCCCAGGCTGGAGTGTAGGCTCACTGCAACCTCTGCCGCCCGGGTTCAAGTGATTCTCCTGCCTCAGCCTCCTTCCTGAGTAGCTGGGATCACAGGTGCCCAACACCATGCCTGGCTAATTTTTGTATTTTTAGTAGAGACGGGGTTTCACCATGTTGGCCAGACTGGTCTCGAATTCCTGACCTCGTGATCCATCCAACTTGGCCTCCCAAAGTGCTGGGATTACAGGCATGAGCCACCGCGCCTGGCCCTGGTTTCATTTTTTAATCTCTACAACAAATTTAAACTGGTACAATTATTCCCATTTGACACATGAGGAAACTGAGGTTTTCAGAGGTTAGGTCATATTCTCCTGGTCACACAGCTGGTAATGTTAAAAATCATGTCAGTCTGATACCAAAGCTCGTAACCACTAAATTGTAACATGATCCTAGGATGAGGGGAAAAGAAGAAAAAGTGAAAGTTTACTGCTAATGGATGACAAGGAGGCAAGTAACTGAAAGAATCATCAGACTTTAAATTCATTCTCAGGAAAGCTTGAGGGAGATGACCCCTGATGCGTGTGTGGTAGAAGCTCCAAATTTTACAGAAATGTAGGTTAAAGCCACTGGGGCCTGTGTGAAGGAGAAAAGAGGGATCACACCGAAACTGCTCCAATTAGGAGTGTCTCTACAAGGGCTTAAACTGGTAGTGTCCTTGGTTAAATCTCTGATTATTTTTCATATCCAGTGTTTAAATCATGAATGGAGCCCTCAGGGGTGGCACTGCAGTTAGCAACGCAGGCTTTCCAGGGAAATGTCTTTACTGATTGTTTCCCTGGAAACGGTTAGGCTTCCATTCTGCTGAGTACCCCCCAGCACTCTCCAAGTTCCCTCTGTGTTGGAAGTCTCTGTTTAGAGTGGGAGGAGGAAACATGTATCAGCTGCAACTTTCTAAAATGTTGCACTTTGTTGCAATAAATGCCACTATTTCTGAAGCTGTCACAAATGTTGCAACACTGTCACAATAAATAATCACTATTTCTGAAGCTGTTGCAAAATGTTGTGATATTGTTGCAATAAATATGTTGTTTATGAAACTGTTGAATTTATTAGAAATGTACTTTGGAGGCCGGGCGTGGTGACTCATGCCTGTAATCCCAGCACTTTGGAAGGCCAAGGCGGGCGGATCACGAGGTCAGGAGATCAAGACCAGCCTGGCTAACACGGTGAAACCCCGTCTCTACTAAAAATACAAAAAATTAGCCGGGCATGGTGGCGGGCGCCTGCAGTCCCAGCTACTTGGGAGGCTGAGGCAGGAGGATCCCTTGAACCCGGGAGGCGGAGGTTGCAGTGAGCTGAGATCGCACCACTGCACTCCAGCCTGGGTGACAGAACGAGACTGCTTCTCAAAAAAAAAGAAAAAGAAAAAAGAAAAGGAAAGAAATGTACACTGGAAAAGGGAAAGTGTGTGTTGGGTATTAGGCGTAGCAGAATTCCTTCTTTCCTCCCCAGTGCTATGGAGATATAAAGTTCAAGAACACAACATGCGTGCTTTCGAGGAGCGTATCATTATTCAGGAAGTCAAGACACCAGTGAATGAAAAGAAAACTCACTTTCTGCAATAGCGCAAAAGAGCAGTGAAGATGGTGCTCAGATGAACTGTAAGTGTTCAGATGAGGGAAACCATGGAAGACATCATGGAGGAGGTGAGACTTGTACAGGAGGTGAGAGTGAGCTGTTGGGAAGATATTCAGAATTGAGGGGCAAAGAGACGGGTAGTTTTCATGGGTGGACTTCAGGAGATTTGTGATCCATCTGAATTTACACACTAACATCCATGTATTTGTATATTTTTCTGGAAAGAGCAACCGATTGCATAAAGTTCTCAAGGAGTCTTTAGCAACCTAAGAAGTCAGAAAAAAAAAAAAAAAAAGACAGTACCGTAGAGGCCAGAAAATTATCAACAGCTTTATCATGGGTCTTACAGAAATACACCATCACCTTGGGTTACCTTTTTTTTTTTCTAATTACCTATAAGTAATTTAAAAGTGGATAATTTCAACGTTATGGGGAGGGTCTCAAGGTCAGCAGGGTGGGGCACACTGGGGATAGAGAGGTCTTTTGGCACTGCTATACACTGAGTAGGTGACTGACTGCCTCTTTGGGAGCCCACTGTCTCATAAATTCTTGAATCAGGGAACACTTGGGGTCTGTCATAGGGAACCAGGTGCCCTGATTTGTGAAACGTCAGCTATAGTAATTTCCTGGTATGCATATATAAATAATATTTGACCTCTGTGTGGAAATAAAAAGGTTTTCACCTTGCACTCCTAGACTGTGATGCTCCACAGTCATTGGTCTGCCTATGAAACTTTTTCTTTTTCTCCTTTTTTTTTTTTTTTTCGAGATGGAGTCTCGCTCTGTCACCCAGGCTGGAGCCTCCCGAGTAGCTGGGATTACAGGTGCCTGCCACCACTCCTGGCTAATTTTTCTTGTATTTTTAGTAGAGATGGGGTTTCACCAAGTTGGCCAGACTGGTCTTGAATGCCTGACCTCGTGATCTGCCAGCCTCGGTCTCCCAAAGTGCTGGGATTACAGGTGTGAGCCACCGCACCAGGCCACTTTTTTTGTTTTTCAAAATTTTTGTAGAGACAGGCTCTCACTATGTTGCCGAGGCTGGTTTCAAACTCTTGGCCTCAAGTGATCCTTCCTCCTGGGCTTCCCAAAGTGCTAAGGTTACAAGTGTAGCCACCACAGTGGGCCTAGGAAGCTAATTTAATACAAACCCCATCTCCCTCTCTGCTCACAGCAACCTCATCTTCCATTCCAATTCCAGATTTCTTCTGTTCCTGGTAGAATTGTGAGATGCTGCATCTGCGTTCCAGCTTTCAAGAATATAATCTATCATCTGAAAACTTAAAGTCTTTTTTTAAAAAAATTAGATCAAAGCAGAGAGAAAATGATCTTCAAGTTTCTTTACCAAACTTGGTATGTTCTTTTGGACTGAAAACTGATGGAGTTGGAAGTGACTTTTGTAGTGAAAATGAGGCTGGAGTAATTAATATTGTTCCAGTGTTCTGGTTATGCGCAGGAGTGAATCATGATACCCAAATTACAATGACTCATCTCTTCTGAGAGAATAAATTGTGATTCTATGAAAGTTTTGCTTCACTAGGAATTTTTTGAAGGGTTCTGTTTGTTCTAGTTTAGAAACCTACACAGGCAATATGGGCTTTGCAAAGGTATAAAATTTTCTTAAATAAAACTAAACAAAGATCTATTTTGATTTTCAGCGTTGGATTTTTTTTTTTTCTTGCCTTTCCTTTGCTTCTGGGAGAAAGTATCTTCAGACAGGAAGCTTTGAGCTACTCATAAATTCTCCCTAACACTGCAGAAACATATTTCACTATGAAATGGTGGAGATGACAGTAAGAGCCTCTTGTTTGAGGGGCAAAGCTGAGACATCCTGAATGCTATGGAAGTTTAATCTTCCATGCTGACGCAATCACGGGAATATTGTGCTCCTGGGGTTTTCTTTATTGCCAGCTACTGTCTAATGCCAGGACAAAAGGAATAATTTGATTACAGCCGAGGAAAGCACAGTTTGTTCCTGTTACTTTTAAGTTTCTTTCTGTTTTTCATTTGTTTTGAAATGAGAGATTGAGAACTCAGAATGTATTTGGTACAAAATGAAAGATAACTACTGCCTAGAGCTATATGGCAAAGACTGCAATATTTAGGGTGGCTCGAATAAAAGGAGCTCTCTGCTTCTTATCTAGTTAACAAAATGATAAAGGGATCCTGTCTGGCATATGCGATTAATTCTCCCTTAGGAAAGGGACATAAATTATTCTTAATTGCCGAGTTATGGGTCTGTTATAATTAAAGTTTGTTACTGGGGGTAAAATGACACCAAGGGAGCAAAGACTGGACAATCTGCCCACATGGGAATGTGTCTTCACCTGAACTTGGACCCATTTGTGAATCAGCAAAACTTTAGCTTTCTTCCTCCATCCTGTGCTCCTTCTGTTATGAAACCTCATTGGCTCCATTCTTCCCAAAAGCTTATTTCTGTCTGTGAACTTTCCTACCCATGTTGAGGTCGTATTCTGTCAGTGGAGAGGAGGACTGAGTCTCTTCTCTTTTGGATGCAACTTGAAACCTGAAAATCTGAAAGGGGAGAACATTCTCCAAATCTACAAATAGCAGATTGGCTTAATTTTGAAGCCTTCTTGTCCTCAAAAGAAAAAGGGGTGGGGTCAGGGTAGAAAGAGTTATACAGTCATTTTAGGTTTTGCACTTGGGATCAATGAAGGAGTTTGTTTGCCTTAGGATGGGAAAAACTTTTAGAGCCCCCTGGAGTTCAGTGAGCCAGATAGGTGATCAAGTCTCAGGATGAAGCCAATGCTACAGGTACTGATGATAACATCAAACAGGTCTCAGGGTCTCCAAAGTTTAGTAGGGACCTTGAGACACCATGGAGACCACTCCTATACTTTCCCAACATTTGTATATTCTCAGACAGCTAAGAACCCATCAGCTTTATGAAGCCTTCCTGAAAGAGAGGTTCTGCAGAAATCTTATCTCCCCAACTAGCATGTTAGTACTTCATGGAAAGAAACTGTGTATTGGATTGATTTTTAATTTTTTAGTTTTTAACTTTTGTGGTACATAATAGGTATATATATTTGTGAGATACATGAGATGTTTTGATACAGGCATGCAATATGTAATAA